>NC_000016.10:60623106-60926136 GCF_000001405.40 Homo sapiens | reverse complement strand
AAAGGAACCTACCTCCAACTAGTGTAGGGTCTTCAAGCAAGACCCCTAGCAGGATTAGCTATTTCCTGATGAACTTCAAAGCCCACCCAACAGCACAGACAGTACTCCTAGGTTCTGCAAGTAAGACAACCAGAAAGATTGACCTTTTCCTGAAAAAACTTAAAGCCTTCTCTGCTAAATAAACTGAAGTCTCAGGTCCTAAAATAGAGACATGGAAAGATTGGATCTTTATTAAAATGCCTCAAAATCGGTTGCAACGTATGTGGTACGGAGAACACCATATTTAAAGCTATGAGGAAGAGCAACATGGAAACCATCAGGCAGCCAGCACAGTGTGGTGGAGGGGCTGGCATTCACTGGTACCATGATATCTGAGACCAAGGAGACAGTGACCTCTGAATCCCATCAAAAAGTGGAGTCAGCATTTAGGAAATCAGGATGTTTCTAACTTAAGTTGCCTTAATTTTAAATAACTATCTGTAAATTTAACAATACATTCCCAAGAAAAGGCTAATTTGAAGCTACTGCATCCTGCCTCCCCTAAAGAGTGTTTTTTTGGCATTAGGTATAAGTCTGTAAACTCAAATCCATGTTACCCATTGAGCTGAAGGAAAGTAGTCAAATTAACTGTTTATATTTGATAATCTCCTTTTCCCGAGTCTCTACCTTAGTTCCTTATCATTCAGCTGCAGTTGCTGGGTGGTGAACATTAGAAGTAACTTTTAGAAAGGTTAAACATCTGAAGGTGTTTCAATGAACCATGAATATTTTCTTTTTTTGTTAATTTCTAGCTTGGCTTGAAACTATGCCGAACGATTGTGTTCTAATAAGGGATTAAGATGAAAATCCTATTTTGGTTGCTAGTAAAATATGTTTGTGTATTAATTAGGTTATTTTAGAGAGTGTTAATTTTTATTCTCTGTAGGTATTTCTCTGATGCTGCCCTTGTGACAGGCGGATTCTTTGGTGATATAATTTCAAGAATTTCACAGAGCTTTCCAATTCCATTATATTCACAACACACTGGACACTGGAGACTCACACACATAACCACACACATACACTCACACACATTCATAAGCACACACATGCACATGTACAGCCCCCAGTTAGGGGAGGGCTGTAGTACCGCTCTGAAGCACATGCCCCTTTGCTATTCAATTACATTATGAATTTGTTTCTCCCAGGAAAAGTGTGTCACTACACAATGTGTGACAAAAGTCTAAAATTGCAAAATTTAATGAGGGGTAGACTGAACCATGTTGTGAAAGGAAGACCATGGACTTTGGAATCAGACAGATCTGGGTTTAAATCTTCACTCCACTCACTGGGGGAATCCTTGAGTAAGTGTTAATAACATACTAGAGGTCTGAGTCCTCTGTACTAGATGTCTAAAGCATCGAGTACTGAACCATACACATAACTGGGACATCAAAAGATTATGGTCCTTTTTCCCATTCAATTGCTTAAATTCATATAGCTTCTGGGGTAGATGTAGTAATAAGATCACAGAATATCTGAAAAAAGGGGAGTAAGTAACCCCAGTGGAGCCTGGCAAGTCAGAAACAGATTCTAATATATATATATGAATTATATATATTATAAATTATATATAATATATACATATATTATTTTATATATTATTATATATAATTTTTACCTTTGAATATGACTAAGTTACAGTTTTTAAGAGTTAAATTGCTGAAATACTTAAACATGAATTATGTGTTCTTTTCCTGTTTGAGGTGAGCTAAAGATCACTTTTAGAATGCTATAGTGAAATAATCCAAACACCATCAATGGAATCTCAAAGCTGTCACATTCATCTCTATTACCACTACTTTGAATATTGTAATAATATAGACATGAAATTATGTTAATGATCACCCTCATAACCCATGTTTCTCTCACCATCCCCAGCCAAATGATTTCTTAACACTACTGCTACGATGTCATTTCAAAATAACTTGCTTTACTGTTTCCCTTGTCTACAAAATGCATCCCATCATTTTTAATGACAAAAGATACATGAAAAATGATATGAGTATGGCACAGAAGATTAAAGGGTGATGCCACTGGGGCTGCCCTTAACTTCTGAGGGCAATCGCAAGGGCTGATTTTTTGTTATTGTGTTCATATTGTACCTAACCATCTTTCCGATGGCTACATTTGAGAGTCACTGTTCTTAACTTCCTTCTATAATTAACACTTATAATGAAAAGAAAAAGAAATGGGAGTAATCTTCACTGACTGTATCAAATATGTTAGGTAATATGCTGATTGTATTATATGTATTTTCTGTTTCATGCAAAAGCTACCCTCTGGGAAATGTGACATTTCCATTTTATAGATGAAAAAAATTAAGCATGTAGGTTTTCTGAAGCTCGAGGATATTACATATGCCGATCTGGTCACTAAACCAAAATCTCCAAAAAATTGATCTGGGAATTCAACTCAGGCAATCTGATTGTTCAGCTCCCTCTGTAAAAAAATATAAAACTCATGGAAGGTTAATGTGATTATTGAGTTCCTTCTCAATTCCATGTCCTTTCTTTGTCAATGTTTCCACCTCATCCAGTTATCTCTGAAGAATGACTCCTGGAGCTAAACACAGTATGCCAGGTGTGCCCCCCATCCCAATTAGAGCCATGTATCTAAAGAAAGGCTCCTGAGACCATTTCGATTTCCCTAGTGGTCACACCAAATCACTGACATGTATCCAACTCTCCTTTTTCAAATGTTCACCTCATAAGCAATATCTCCCCTATATGTGCTTTTATTTTTCTGGACTTCTTTGCCCTTCCTGAAATAGTTAAAATGTAAATGGAATTCAGATGGATGTGACACATCATTGCAAGTTAGAATGAAGCATTTGAATACTATTTCTATTTTTCAGCTTAGTTATTTCTCTCATTTCCTGGTCTTCTGAAAATGTGATCACCTTACAGGATGGCATTATGCGTGTTATCTGCAGATATGCTAAACATGTCAGGACTAATAACCTAGCCTGTCAGATCCACAAGACCCCTTTCATTTCATGTAAAATATCTGTGTGTGTGTGTGTGTGTGTGTGTGTGTGTCTGTGTGTGTGTGTGTGTGTGTGTGTGTTTGGTAAAAGCAGAACTGCAATCCTTTGCTTACCTGCTCCCCCCACCTCCCCTGGGAGACAAAGCGGAAATCAGCAATCTTGGATATGGTGTGACTGACAAGGATAAAAAGACAGAATTAATCCACCTCTGATGCAGTGTGATAATAAAGAATTAAAGCAATTTCAAAATAACAGAAAAGGAAGCAAATGGGAAAAAAAATCATACCACATTTATTCTACTTATTCCTGAGCAATGTTAGCAAAAGGTGTAAAAATAGTAATTCAGGCCAATCTCCTTAATTATAGATAACACTGCTTTAAGAACAAGGACTAAAGAGGAAACATTTGAAAATTATTGCTCAACTATCTAATAATTAAAAAATATGACAAAAACCTCAATCATACTTTTAATTCTTGATCCTTGGTTATAGGATAATCTTTCTCATGCCTATTGAATTTCACTCAGATTGTTCAGTTTAATACAAAAAATGTTTAAAATTACCTTAGTTTTCAAAAAACAATAAAATAAAAAGATAAAAGAACTTCATATCCAAGCTTGAAAAGACTTAAAGAACATTATAACAAAAAAAGAAGGAATTAAAAAATGTGTGTAAATGAAGATTGGGGATTATATATATTTTTTTAATCTCCCATGGATATGCTCATTTTTTTCTCCAATGTGTTTTTTCCTGTTCAGATTGCATGGTTCTAGCTTTCTAGGAAAGAACTGAGTTAGCGGCTATAGTGAGAGACAGTAGAGCAGAGGAAAGGGGAATGTTATTCATATGGATCTTATCTTGAATTCTGTTCTAGGCAGTGAATTGTCACTGCAAGAACTTCTGAGCTTCATTTTTTCACATCCATAAAATGGCCATAATAATATTTGAAACTTAAGGTCCTTGTGATATTAAAATGTATGATGTTATAATATATATTAAAATATATATGTGTGTATATATATAAAATTTCTCCACATTTGTGGATATATGTATGTATGTGTGTTGTGTTGTGTGTGCATATATATATACATATATATATATATGTATATTTCTCCATGTTTCAGCCCTCTAATTGTTCCACAGACTGAAAACCCCTTAGCATTACTTACAAGATACATCACTGGCCCTCAACTTAACTTCTCTTGTCATCTTCTTTACCCCAAATTTCACCATGATTCGGCCACAGTGTCCTTTGTGAAAGACTCACACATCATTTGCTTCTTTCTAGCACCTTTGATTCCAACTGCCTGGAACCCGCTTTCTGGAGATCTAGGTATGAGATCTTTTTATGACTCACATTTCAGATTACCTCTTCAGATGCACCATCTGACCTACAACATGAGTTAGTGATTTCTGTCCCATCATCATTTCCCTAGTTTATTGCCCTGATTATTTTTTCTTCAGAGTGATTCCCAAAATACTTATATCCTATTAGAGAAGAGGTCTGGCCTATACCTTTGACTGTTTGTCTTGAGTGTTGGCATAAAATAAGAGTGTACTACATTTTGGTCAAATTAATTATATAAAAGGGCAAAACATATATCAGAATACCATAGGCATAGAACAAATACTGGATTCGTCCCTTCCATGTGAGCTTTCTGACTGCATAATAGTGGCTTTGCAATTATGTAATTTACCTCTACAATAAGAAGATAAGGAGATAATAAAATCAAAACACACACACACAGAACTTACAGAACTAAGAATAGAGGCTGGGTTGCCTAACTATCTGACTATCCTCAGTCCATTTAATGACAATATTAAATATTTGGAATAAAATATATCTCTAAAGTTTATATACGCTTTGCTTTAATAAGACATACTCTACCTTTGCACAAAGATGAAATTAAGACAAATAAGGCTATATAAATACATGTCAAGATCATGAAGAGTTCTATCATGCATTATGGAGATTTTGTACAGTTAGAGGAGTCAGACTTCTCAATTTTTATTTATTATTTTAAAAAATATACTTTGTAAGTTCTTTTCTCTACTTTCCCATTAAACTTGATAAATCTCAAGTTACCTCAGTGTGGGAGTGTACTTTTGTTGTTCTGTATCTGTCTAACATTCCCTCCTTCTAGGAATTCTTCATATCTCACTCCATGTAAGTTTGGGGGCTATGAGAGATGAGGCCCTGCCACCTTGCTTATGACCTGGCAGGTTAGATGGCTTCATCACCCTAGAGGCAGTGAGTGGTCTCAGACTGGCACATGACTTAAACCAGAAAAGAGTCCTGGAGCAAGTTGCCTTCATTAAGGAAACCATTAACATTTATGTATTTTACTTAAATTGTTCTTCAGAAATTATTCTACATAGCCAGAAGAACCATTACGTTACCTAAGAAGGTTTGTTTCCCAAGAGGAGTTTGCATTATTACTCCCAAAGAGAAGTTATACATCCTCCTACTTCTACCTAAGCCACATACTCAAATCTGGAACAATGATTTGGCAAGAGATTGTCTTGCCTTTTTTTTTTTTTTGTTTGTTTGTTTGTTTTGATAAAATGAGCTATAAGGGTGATATAGTTTGGCTCTGTGTCCCCAGCAAAAATCTCATCTTGAATTGTAATTCCCAGGGAAGGACCTGGTGGGAGGTGATAGATCATGGAGGCAGGTTTCCCATGCTCTTCTTGCAATAGTGAGAGAGTTCTTATGAGATCTGATGGTTTCAAAAATGGCAGTTTCCTCTTCACTCTCTCTCTCCTGCGCCTTTTGAAGAAGTTGCTTGCTTCTTTGCCTTTCGCCATGATTGTAAGTTTCCTGAGGCCTTCTCAGCCACGCAGAACTGTGAGTCAATTAAACCTCTTTTTTTAATATAAATTGCCCAGTCCCATGGAGTGTCTTTATAGCAGTGTGAAAATGGACTAATACAAAGGGTATTAAGCTGGCACTACCGTATAAAGACAACTGCATGAGCACAGAGTCATCACACAAGTAGGACTGAATGAAAGAGAGAAGAGAGTTTCCCAGAAAGATTGTTTGAGCATGAGAGCTTATCCAGGTGTGATGACAAGAACAAGTCTGTAATTTTAAATTCCATAATTTCACACCCATTTCTTTCAATTTAATTTGAGTTGGGTTCCTCTAACTGGAAACCACAAGGATTTAGACAAGCGTAATCTTTCTCTACACTGTGTTAATTGCTGGCACCATCCTAAGTCACTCAGGGGCCTCCTTCCCTCCCTCCAGCACCTGCCAGGGAATGCAGGGAGTGATTTGAGGAGGGACACCTCACTCTATAGAATATTTCTGGCCTCATTCACCACTTCAGAGGATATAATAATGGCTGTTTAGATATGGGGTAACTTGAATACATTTTACACGGGATGTTTTAGGTAATATGTAATATCTTCTTTAGCACCGCTTAAATAGTGGAGGAAATGTTCCCAAAGGTATCTTCTGACCCTTTTTCCATTAAGTGAAGATATATGGCTTTAGTCTCACCTAAATGCCATTAAAACCTCATAACAAAACACAACAATAAGAAAAAACTGACCTAGATTAGATTTGTTAACTTCATTTTACTTCTGCAAATTATAAGCTTTTCTTTCTTTCAAGGCTCTGATGGAAAACAAACTTCTGTATGTAAAATTCCATCCATTTTTCCTTTTTTAATGTTTTTCTTAATAACCATAAACCCTTTGTTTGTCTACTTGTTCATTCATGTATTCTTGTAAAAAGTATTTATTGAATATCAACTATGAATCAGGTACTATGTTGGATGCTGGGGATTGAAAATGAAAAAAGGAATATGGTGATTTTATTTTTTTTTTTAAAAATAGCTGTTCAAAATTACTATAGATGATGCAGAAGTGGAAGCCAGCTTCCTGATCCCTCTCCAAATACTCCTTTTTAAATTAAACATATTTCACTTATATAGTGACACTGATTTTTCTTCATCATGCTAGACAAGAACAAACATCTGCATTATTTTGCTTAGGAGGAACAAAAATTACTCAAACATCAGCCTAACCTGAGAGAGGGCAGGGGATCCTTTCCAGTGGGTAGACTATCTCAGGAAGACACAAAAATATCATCCTCATTTACAAGAACTCAGCTATGAAAGCACAATTTTTATTTCATCAAAGATAGCATTTAAGAATTAAACTTCTCTTTAAAATATCCATTTTACTAACTGAGGAGAGAATTGCCAAGAACAATTGACAATAACAGCAAAGTAGGCTTTAATCAACTTCTAAGAAAAGTGCTGAAGTGGTTTAATTTTTGTCAGTGATACCTAGATATGTAATTGAGAAAGAAATGGGTCAAATATGAAGAGATTTAAAGCTTGCCTCAGTTTTTCACCTGACCTGCTGGGTGACCTTTGGCAAATCTTCAGCTTCTGGGCCTCAGCATTCAACTAGTTTAAGCATCTCATTTTTTGGTATACAAGAGATAGCCCCTCACATTTTGTTAAAATTGGGAAGTTGGCTCACTTAGAATCCAATACCAAATTGTCAAATGGGGGACGGTACAAATTGCTGTAATCATCATCCATATATGTGTGAGATTTATTCATTCACTCTTTTCATTCAGCCAGTCCATTTATGTATTTCATTCATGCCAGATAAAAAAGCAAGTTTTTTTATATGATGGCCAGATAGTAAATATTTTAGTCTTTGCAGGCTATATAATCCCTCATAATGATTCAATTCTGCCATTGTAATAGGAAAGCAGTCATAGACACTACATTAAAAAATAGGTGTGGTTGTATTTCAATGACATTATCTATAAAATCAAGGAAGGTGCCAGCTATTGCCCATGGAATGTAGCGCTGAACCCTGCTTTAAACAAACCAATAGACAAAATAACAGGTATAATTTAAATTTAGCAACAGTCACCGTGGTAGTATTTTTACATGATTATTCTGTTTAATCCTCACATACACACATAAATTCTATTCATTCAATAAGCAAAATGTAGCAGAAAACAAGAAACATGTTCCACACTCATACATTTTAATTTTTTTGTGTGGAAAGAAATTCGACAAAACACTAGAAAATAAGTAAATGATATAAAGAAAAATAAAGCATAGTAAACGTATAAAAAGTGATGGGTGTTCTTTTCAATAAGTTAGTCCTGAAGTTCTCTATGATCAGGTGACATCTGAGCAGAGACCTGAATGAAGTAGGGTATGCCCCTTACAGATATCTGGAGAGGAGTGTTCCAGGAAGAAGAAGAAAAAAAAAGCTTAAAGACACTCTGAGATGGGATTGTGTTTGGCATGTTAATGGAAAGATCAGGAAAGTAATGTGACTGGGGCTGTGAAGCAAGCCTATGGAGATGAGGTCAGAATGCCCACCCTTCACTAGAACAGGCGGGACCCTGTAGGCTATGGATGGGAGTCTTGATTCTGTTCTGAGATGTGCAGAAGAATTATATGATGTCACTAATATATTTTTAAATTACTCTGGCAGTTCCCCACCATGGTGCTAGGGAGTAGGCAGAATGACAAATGTTTATTACATAGTTCAGGTAACAGATTATAGTAACAGGAACTGGGAAGATATTTGGAAAAAAGATGCCAAAATTTTGGATAAATGTTCAAACTAGATATTATTAACAAGTACTATGAATAAATTCAGAGGTGTTAAATGATTTATCCAAGTTAAAAACAGCTAGGAAGTACAAGGATCTAAAATATCCTTAGTACCAAAATCCCACTGACAAGAATGCTTTCAATTAACCATCACCCCACACCCCCCACCCCAAATCACTCACATGCTCAAATGTAGGTAAGTGGTAAGAACTGGTAGAAAGATGCATTGTTCTCAAATCAACCTGTCTCCCCAACTTCCTCCCTATGGCCATGCCACAGTTTATCTGTTTTCTGAAAGATTAATTACCTAATTTTTGCCTATCACTTTTTGAGAATATGATATTTGGGAAAATGGGGCAATCTGGTGCCAGAGGGGCAGAGTAAGATGTTAAAAGAAGGGCTTATAGACATCACACACACACGCGCACACACACACACACACACACACACACATGCACACACCACTTATTACTCTAACACGCTTCCCTTGAGGTTACAGTCCAGTATGAGAACATTCTTGTTATAGAATATCATGCATTTCAGGAGTCTGTCCTCTACCTCACTCCCTAATCCAGCAAGTTTATTCCTTTCAATTTCACCCAATGTCCCCAGAATATTGTTGTAGCAAGTATTAGGATGACAGGATGAGACAGAGCCAAAAATTAAAGCCAATTGTTGACAGAGTGAAGAGTCATAAAAGAGGCCAAAGGCTAGAGCCCTGAAATCAGAACCAAGCTCCACATAGCAGAGCAATGGCCAACTAACAGGACAGCCTGGTGGTTAGATTCTATTGATTATAATTCGGTTAACTTATTAAATTGGCCAACATTAAGTATCTAGTGCATGTATATCCTATGCAAATAATAGTTATTTCAGTAAGTTTTCCAGGCATATTTTTAGAAATAGGTCTTTTAATTTTCATCAGTATGAATAAAGAACAAGTCCTCCATTGAAGCTCTAGCAGATACCCTTCAATCCTTGAGTGGTAGAATTCTGAGGTGTGTTTCATGTTGTTTTGTAGAGTTCTCCTGCTGAAATGAGGCCATTGTCAACAGTGGTAAGCCACTCGCTTACAAGCATTCTATTAGTTTTCTTCATTTCCCTTACTTCACCATTTCCCTACAAGTGCTCCTGGAAACATCTTGCAAATAAATTAACAAATGATTTGCATTTTCATCCTTGTCTCACAATCCAATTCTAGGGGATCCCAGCCTAGGACATAACTTTGATGTACATGCAACACATTGTTCATCAGGACCTTACCTTACTCCCTACAGCATATCCTTAAGCAGTCCAACCAACACAGTTTGAAAATGCCTCCACTGATAGTAAAGAATATGGATGCTGAAATAATAGAAACTAGAGTTCAAGCCAATAATTGTGTTTTTTTTCATGTATTGGTTGTGTGACTTGAGCAAAACCAAGTAGTATCTCCCAAATATCAGTATATTCATCTATCTCTACACTAACAGTAATCTTCCCACCTCAGTAATGATCATTCTAACTCAGAAAAACGATAGGTAATTTAAACCCTCCAGCTTTTCCAGTTATGCCTCCTTTATCAAAATGTTAGCTATATACCAATCTATCCTGACATACGTTTATACAGCATATGTCTTTTATTTGTGTTAGACTTTCCCAACTATTCTGGGTAGAAAGCATTCTTCAAAATCAGAATCCAGACATGCATACTAATTTAATCATCATAACTCAAATAATGATTTACAGGGAAGCATGTCTAGGTCTGATTGGGTTAATGTGAAACTTTTGTCTGCTTAATCATTGCTCCTTCTTTAAGTGTAATACTAATGATGGCCCTTCCTAACATCGTGTTAACTCATTTTAGCGTTTATATTAAATTGTATAAAATCACAGTAAGGGAGGTATTGTTTCCATTATTAGTTGTGAAAACCAGGGCTCAATCCAATAAGTAAACTTCGTTTAATAGCTAATAAATGTTAGAGCCAGGATTTGAAACCTGGTCTGGTTTGACACTGAAGTTATAAATATTTGAAATGAACTGTTGTGCATTCCATCAGACATAATATATTATGTTTTCAAGCTGGATATATCTTCCAAGCTCAAGCCTCCCTTCTCACTTTCTATTTTTTCCTAATACAAATTATTGGCCCATAAATCAACTAAGAACAAACAGTACATAGTAAGTTGTCAGTAAATGGTAATTTCAATTACTACGATTGCTATTATAGTTTTTAGAGGAGGATATTTTGGAACTTCATGAGATTTGTCAGATACTATATTTATTGCTAATTTTATTGTAATAAAGAATCATATATCTAACTTCACAAATCCAATATACAGAAATGTGTCTGATATAAAAACACTCATGACTTGCACCTGCAATCTTTGTCTAATTAAACTTTCACTGTTTCTCTATAAATATAGCTCCATCCCTCTATGTTTTGCAAAGGAAATTCATCATAACCAAAAGTGTGTTTATTATATGTACTAACGTATTTAGGGGTAGGTTATATAAGTTTGGTTCAATCTCATAATTTAATTCCTTGCCAGAATTCCTTGCTTATGATGTGTTATTGTTTTCTTCTGACCTAATGCCTTCTAAGCCTGGCTTTCGGGGTCTTCCAGAATTTCTGCAAATTATTTAACATCCTTTTTATACTTTATTTTAAAATAATTAGAGTAGATTGGTAAACAAGAACCCAACTGGAGCTTAATGTATGCCAGTCTCAATAGCTCTTTCAATAAAGGAATTACAGGACCGCTGGGTTTCAGATCTGTTGAAGAAAAACTGAAAAATTCTAGGTTGCTTATATTTTGTTCATACAAATAAAAACTCACATGTATTTCCAAATTATCTTTTGGGATTCTCCAAATTTGTTGGTTTTAAAATCTGTGGCATAAATAGGAAAATAGTACTAAAATTGAATATGCATAACTTTCTTTACTCAAATAAATCTTTTAAAACATTAACTTGTGGTTAATATCCAGTCAGCAAAAAATAAATATGCATTTACGTCTTAAAACGTCTTTGCGGTTCTCCTTCAAAGAGTAGTACATGTAATCAAATTAAGCTTGTTTATTCTTTATGCATTTAATATATTTGCCATGAGAAAATGAATCATTCCTCTATTTTAATGGTGCTGACTTTCTCCAAGTTTAGTTCATACATTTTAAAGCAACTTTGTCACCATCTACTGAATTAGGATTTTAAAAACCCTACAAAACTATTTATTTCTTAATTTCTATAAAACCTTATTTCAAATTCAGAACTAGATGGTAAACTATCGAGCTGATACTAAAAAATGTTCCCCCAAGGAGCTTCAGTTCTTTGTATAATCAAATTGAACAGACACATAATTTTTTGCTGTATATTGAAACATTATTTCTTACATATCATCATGTGATGGATTGTATTGACAGAACTATGCATAATTTAGGTGCTATAAAAAGAAGAAATCCAAAAATTTATCATCTGAATTATAATTTCTCCCACAACACAACAATTCTTTTGAATGTAAATGACAAGTAAAATGTATTAGGCATAATATATTTAAACAAAAATGTATTATTCTTAACCAAGTTTTCCTAAGGATACTAATTTAAGGTTCTATAGAGAGGAGAAAAGTGTTGCAATGTAGATTCATGTTTGTCATATTTAATTACATTTGAAAATTGCAGCATTGGACTATGGAATTATTTTCATTTTAATCTTTTTTATCTTGTTTTGTTTTTATCATAGACTATTCCATATCAGTGGCTTCTTCAGAAAATATTCGAAACTTTTAAAACACAAAAAGAAACTTATAATGTTATAAGCACAAAACAATTTTTATATACATTTAGAAAAGAATTGCAGCCATTCAGAAATTCATCTTTTATATTTGCTCAACTCCAACACTCATGAGCAATATTAAAAATGTCTCTGGTGACAAGGTAAACACGTTTTCCTAAAGCAAAGTACTCATATAGAATAAATATGGACAATCACATTTCAAAATATTTTAAAAGGTAGGGAATTCTTATTGTTAAAATATGCCAAAAAGAGATTTTCTTTCATTATTAGTTAATTTACATTTTCTTAATATTCCATTTTTAGAAGAGAAGTCATCTTTTGGTACATTTTTATCATACTGTTTGAAACCTGGTATGATTGATATGATAAAAATGTACCAAAAACTGTACCTGGCATTGTCCACATACCAGGCTTGTCAAGAAAATAATGGGGGTAGTAAATACTTTACACTCTGGAATTGAACAAATTGTTAAAACTTTTCCTTTTTTCTTCCCTTTTCTCCACATTTTGTCAGAATTTGGTTTGTGTTAAAGGAGTGTAAGAGAGTGAGCAAATTTCAGAGCACTGTCACCTCCTGAAAACCTTCCTAGTTGGGGATGTGCTGCATACTGAAATACACTAAAGACACTTCCCAGGGGAAAGTGACATTTAATCCCCTACTAGCAGTATGAGCAAATGCTGTCATTACAGAATTCACAGGACTACAAGTCTATTTCTTCTAAAAAAAAATCGCCACTAATATATATGAAATTCTTTTGACACTCTCTCTTTGAGAAATATTCTCTCCTGCTAAAATCCTCAGAAGGTGACCCAGTGGGTGATCTCTTCTGAGTTCACTGACTGTTAAGAAAACAATCAGAAAATCATCCTAGAGTTTCTACTGCATGGGAGTCTATTCATGTGAACATACAGGGTCTCAGTTGTGTGTCACTTTATAGTCCTAATAGAAACTTGATAAATGTAACAGGAAATTGTTTTAATTTTTTCTGTGTGCCTTGTACTGTTCTAGAAGACGCTTATGATGCAAGGAAGGTATACAACATTGTGGGGTTTTTATTCATGAAAATTACTTAGAATCTAACCTTACCCAACAATAGTTGTATACTTAAAATTAATACTGAATATATATATATATATGTACATACATATTTAAATATTTACTGATAATATTGTATGAAATGTCATGGCCATTTTTTTACCATCATTAAGTCAATGAAATCACCTTAAAAAGGCAGTTTCTGTCATTTGTGATTTTATGTATACATATCTAATATCCTTGAAAATATAGACTGCAATTCTACACTAATGTTTTAGAAATCACAGTGAACCAGACAAATCAGGTACACATCTTTAGATTAATATTTGCTCAGACGAGATGAGGGAAGACCAGAAAGAAGAAAAAAGACTAGGGAAACAGGGAGACAACAAAACAAACAGCAGGATGGGGAATGGACGCTGTTGGAGGAAGAGTGGAAAACAAGTTAGGCCATGAAAGGTACAGTTGGGTTAAAGGGTCTCCCAAAGGCCAATGTAAAGTTTTTTAACTATGATGACAGGGGATGCTGTGTGGTGGACACTGTGATGTGCCACCCAGATACCCTTCGCTGAAGAACCTGGGCCCCTGTTTTGGGGTTTTATAAGCCAGCATCTTACACTATCACTCCCTTACAGATTGCTTTTGCTGCAGAGAATCAGCTTGATCCGGTCCTGCATTCCATAACAGATCAATGAGCTTGTACAACGAGTTGACTATCTTGGTCCAATCTGAGGCAGCTCTGAAGGGCCATTCTAGCTCTTGAGCTTGCTTTGGGGATGGATCCAGCTGCTAATCTGGGTGCATCAGAGCTTGACTTCTCCCTCTGCCCACTCCCACTACCGTCTCCTCTCTTCCACTGGTGTTGATTCCAACTTTAATGCCTTAATAACACCCTGAATACCAAATCTCATTTTGGAGCTAGCCTCTCTGGCAACCTGACTTGTGACTCTATGGGGATGGACAAAAAAGGTTATTGTATCAGTCTATTCTCAAGCTGCTAATAAAGATATGCTCAAGACTGGATAATTTATAAAGAAAAATAGGTTTAATAGACTCACAGTTCCATGTGGCTAAGGAGGTCTCACAATCAAGGTGGAAGGCGAAGCAGGAGCAAAGGCACATCTTCCATGGTGGCAGGCAGGAGAGCATGTGCAGGGGAACTGCCCATCAGATCTCATGAGTCTTATTCACTATCATGAAAACAGCATAGGAAAAACCCACCCCCATGATTCAATTAGCTCCCAAAGGGTTCTCTCATAACAAGTGGGGATTATGGGAGCTAAAGCTAAAGATGAGATTTGGGTGGGGACACAGACAAACCATATTAGATATTTTACAAAGATGTTGAATAAACTTATTTAGCTTATTTTACTGAACTTTGAGCAATACTAATTTATTTAAGTCTGAAACTTTGTAGATAAGAAAAGGAATGCAATAAGTTAAGGAAATATAAAGTTGTTTCCTTTTTAAAAATTATATTAATTTTTGGGAGAGACTGTAGCTTGACTATCAGCTTTCACCCCTCCTCTAATTGTTCAGCTTTTCAAAATAGTTTGGTATTTCTGCTGCAAATTAATGGAGCAACCAAATTACCTTTATTTTAAAACCACTAAATAGTTTAGATTGTGCTTGTGGCTGCCCAGATTTTTTAAAGGTAACAGCTTATTTCCTATCTAGTTGTGTCAGACTGCAGCACTAACTTTGGGTTTTATAAAATAGCTCCTGCATCTAAGCATATATTTCTGTCCTTGTTCTTATTTCTTGAGGTAGGTTGGAATAGTTAAAAAAAATCCCAATCATACTCTTTGATGTAGGGGATATCGGTTCAAATATAATCTCTGACTAGCTCGGTGATATTTACCTAATTTCTGTTACTATGTTTTAATCTCTCTCATAGGGCTAATTATTTTAAGTTAAATAACTTACATGAGTCATCAATAACTCCATAAACCAGGATTGGAAAATCATGTCTTCATCTGCTTTGAAAATTTTGATCCATTGGTAAGAGAGTGTGCTCTATTGAGAACCCTGCTAAACCTATATCAACACTTGTTTATGTATCTATTGTTTAAAATAAAATTTGATATATTATAGTACCAGTGGTATCTTGGAGCTTGTTTGTATAAACTTGCAAGAGAAAGTAGTTGTATAATTAGGAATTATGTGACCTGAATGTTAAACACAACACCACAGAAAAAATAAACTTTATGAAATTCAATTAAAATAAACAATTATAAATTATTTTTAAATAAAGAAAAATAAGAATAATATAAATTATTAAACAATTTTGTAAATAAAATATCAATTATTTTATATTGCATGTGATTAAATAAATATATAACTAAATCATACCAAAGAAGGTGAAGTGTTTCTTAATTTTAACTCTTTGAATTTTTTTTTTTTTTTTTTTTTGAGATGGAGTCTCGCTCTGTCGCTCAGGCTGGAGTGCAGTGGGGCGACCTCGGCTCACTGCAAGCTCCACCACCTGGGTTCACACCATTCTCCTGCCTCAGCCTCCCGAGTAGCTGGGACTACAGGTGCCCGCCACCATGCCCGGCTAGTTTTTTTTGCATTTTTAGTAGAGACGGGGTTTCACCATGTTAGCCAGGATGGTCTCGATCTCCTGACCTCGTGATCCGCCCGCCTCAGCCTCCCAAAGTGCTGGGATTATAGGCGTGAGCCACCGCGCCTGGCCAAATTTATTTTTAATTCTTTTATTACATTTTAATGATAGCTGTGCTCTCAAATGTCTATCGTATCTATATAGTAAAAACCTGTGTTCCAAATACTACTGTGCAATTCTTTCCAACACCGTTTTTGGTGATGCTGCATGGAAGCTGGAAACCGTCTATGGCAGAAGTATTTCCACAACAAAAATCAGCAAATACTCCAAATTAAAGACCTTCCCCTTCTTACTCTCCCAGAGCCAGTTGTTAAACATTTACTAGCACACCACTCTAAAGTGTTCATGGTGTGACAGACACTGTAATTGTTTTACACATATTAAACCCTTTAATTTAATCGTCTTAACCAGCCTCCGGAGTAGTTGTTATTACTACTCTTCATTTTTCAGATGTGGAACCTAGGGCAAATTGCCTAACCTGGCAATGCCTATGGCCCACACTTTGTGAGCTTTGGAGCCAGCATCTGCATCTGGGCAAACTTTGTCTCATAGACTGCGCCAAAACACTTCACTCAGTTTTATATATTGTGGTTGATGATCATATCTGCCTTGGGAGGGAGAATGGAAGAGTGGCCAGGGTGACATTATTGCACATCTTAACCTTGACATTGCCTAGGACTGTGCAAGGCATAGTCTGACATGTGACGTGTGGCAATCTGTGCCTGTCTCCTCATCTGAACGATGTAGACAGTAATCATCTCTAATTCTGAGACTGAAATGAGAAATGCATGTAAAGGAATTAGCACCGTGTCTGATACGTAGCAAATTCTTACATTCTAGTTCTTTTCTCATCACTTTGCTGTATGTACTATAACTATTATCATTTTCTTAATGCTTAAAAAGGATAAGTAATGTAGTAGAATTAGAGGAAAAAGAGCTTGAAAAGACAGGAGAAAATATATGACAGGGGAAAAAGATGACAAATGAAACAAAATGAAAAATGAAGGAGCATAAAACAGTTAATTAAATATCTAAAAAATCATAATGCTGATAATGTTATTATTAAATATTCCAAGATTACCTATAGCCAGGGTGAATAACTCAGTCTTCGTATAGCACTCACTATTATAACCTTTTTCAGATGCTTTTGTAATATACTTATATGTATTTGTCAAAACAGACTGAGATCTTTGAAAGCAGAAACTTTATTTTATATTTCCCTAAATTTTTATCACTAAGTAGTTTCTGTAACATAAACAGAACTCAGTGAAAGTTAAAATTAAATGTTGAAGTTTAAAACATGTAAATAAAGATGCTAGATGTCTTGTGAATTTTCCATGAAATGAATACATTTTTAAAAATAATATATTCTTGCTGTTCTCAAATCCACTCTGTGATGATTTAGAAACTTTCAAAACTGAGAAGGGTGGGTGATGGAAATGTTTTCTGTGCTTTTAAGTTAGCAGTTGTCTACAGATCAATTTTACTCAAATCTATTTAGGCCCATTGGCACATTTTTAGTAAACATCACATTATTAAAAATTTAAAGATGTTTAGCCAGTCAAAAAGAGAAAAGTGTTTCAGTATGAGCTGCCCTTAAGATTTTATTGGTATGTAATAATAAAATACATGATAAATGGAAAAAATGAATATAAACAGAATCATTGCATACGATTCTCAGTAGGAAAAAAAGACTGTTTTGCAAGTTTGGAGTAGCCCTTATAATTATTAATTATTGAAATATATGCCAAAGAGATAGTCCAAATAGAAAGAAACCATGAACTTCTGCTCCAGAAGGCAGTATAATCCCTGTCCTGGTACTTCCCAGGTTTTCCTGGAAACTTCCATCTGACACATGGCAGGGAGGAACATGTCTGCAATGGGCAGAAAACTGGACCAGAATCTGACCAGTTGTCTTTTCCTTGTGTACTGTTATAAGACTTCTACACATACATTAACAATTGATGTTCTGAATTGATAGCTTATTTTTATTATAATTCAAATTTCAGAGCACAGTTATTGATCATTTAAGACATACGAGACCTTATGACCTTATGCAAAATGCAAGAGATGAAATGGTGCATTCATTTAGTTAGCCATTGAAACACAAAAAATAGTGGAGATATTTCATATATGTCTGGAACTATGCTAGGCTGCAGGAATATAATGGTAGCAGAACACAGCCCCCTTCCTTTAAGATTTAAGTAAAGCGATATTCTTCTACCAGTAGAAGGCAGTATGATTCAGTCAAAAGGGTATAGCCTATGGAATTAGACAAACTTGACTTTTATCCCTGAACTCTTCTACCTACTTCAGTTGTGATATCAATACACTAAATTTACAGAAATGTTTTTTCATCTTAAAATTGATGCAATGCCCGACTCATAGGTAGGTGGCTGTGAGAATCTAGCACAGGGTCTTATCCCGTATGACCATGTAATTATTGATCATATTCTCATGATAGGTACCGTAGCATTCATGCCAGTGTTACCATAAATACATTTTTATCAAGGTATAAAAAATGCTGTTTATAAATCCTCATTATGTATTAATCTCTTAAACAAGACTTTTAAAAAAAATAATATCATGTTTGCTGCCCACCTCTAGCTAGATGTACAAGTCATCTGATAATCTTAACAGTCAGGAAAATATAAACTTCCTCTGAATATATGACTGTACTTACATCTCTGAGTGAAAAACTTTATTTTAACATATGTTGTGACAATCAATATTTGTTTACATGACAATAAATACAGATTAGTAACCCGTTCAGCAACTATGAATAGATAATATTTGGGAGAAAGATGAGAAATAACTATTAGTGAAAATGAAAGATTTTCCATTTACTAATGCCATAAATAAACTAAACCAAATTTATAGAACAATTTTTGACTTACTTTTGGATGTTAAATTGGAAGAAGGAGGGGAGGACAGAGGAAGATTGAAAAATTAATGTGTATGGGTATCTTGTATGTGTTAGGCATGATGCTAATCACCTACAAATTCAGTATGATGTCTAATCGGGCCAGGAAATATATAAGGTACATAATATTGCTTAACTTGCCATGAAAAATATGAGGAAGATAGACACCTGTGCGTGAATGATTAAAAACCCACACGACATTTGGCCCAAGCCATATGACAAAAAATTAGTAGAACCACATTTTACACCCAGATCTGTGAGCCTAGAAAATTTTTTTAAGAAGATTACTGCTTTGGAACCAGGTGCCAGGTTTTGGGTAAAAAGGCTAAAAAAAAAAAAAAACTTATGTAATCTCAGCACTTTGGGAGGCTGAGACGGGTGGATCACCTGAGGTCAGGAGTTCGAGACCAGCTTGGCCAACATGGTGAAACCCCATCTCTACTAAAAATAAGCTGGGTGTGGTGGTGGGCATCTGTAATCCCAGCTATTAGGGAGGCTGAGGCAGGAGAATCACTTGAACTCAGGAGGCAGAGGTTGCAGTGAGCCCAGATTGCACCACTGCACTGCAGCATGGGCAACAGAGCCAGACTCCATCAAAAAAAAAAAAAAAGAAAAAAAGAAAAGAAAAGAAAGAAAAAGAAGAAAGAAAGAAAGAAGGAAGAAAGGAAAGAAGGAAAGAAAGAAAAAGAAATAAAACAAATGTTGCTGTATAACTACATAAATTTCTACTGCCTCAAATATAATCTGAAATCTTAATTTTAGGCTCTTCTTCCATTCCAAATATGAAGGAATAAATATTTTAAAGCTTATATCTGGATAGTGTTTTTCATGTTTGGTAGTATGTTGAATTATTACCGTTTTCCCCATAGTAAGAACATTTATTGAATTCCATTTTTACTTATTTATTTTTAGACATTAATTACAGATCAACTAATGTCTCCTTAACTTCTGAGACTTGCATTTTTCCCTATGGTTGGCAGCAGTTGTGTCAGGTTACGATACAATAACCAATGTAAAATGCATCAGGCCAATTTGAGCCATTTTTTCTTAATGAGTCAGACTTAAAAGGGCCAAAACTTTAATTGGAGAGGAGGGGAGCCTCAGATGCTATGCTTGCTATTGTTCAACGTTTCTGGATGACTAAGAAAGCTGTAGGAAAGCTTATCTATTAGCAGTCCTCAGAAAGCTGGTCTCAGGCTCAGTTCCTCTCCTTCCAATTCTAATTGCTAATTCATGTGTAAATACTAATCCACCTCAAGAAGTGGCAATGAATGTGATCCGATACGATGTGCATGATGTGTGGTGAACTAAAGCTCTGTAACATGTTCAGAGATCAACTGAGGCTTACTCTGTATTAGTGCATTTTCCTCTTCTATTAAGAGGAAAGGAAAACAGCTAAGACTGGGGGTATGGTACCTTGGCTTCTTATAACTTGTGCTGATATATTTCTGTCAGCATTATATTCTTTGGTTTATCAGTTGCAGCAAACAGATTGGTAAACACAATTAAGCTGGATTCTAGTCACTATAATCAAATTATCTTCGACCAGAGAAATAACTACAAAAAAGATCATTTACTGCTAATGGGATCTGAGAGTTCTGCTGATGAAATTCTGGCTATAATTGCTTGGGGGAGGTGTACCAAGAGTTTCAAAAATTCATTTCCAAGAGTCAACATTATTTCATCAAAACTATGCAATCTTCCTGGTAAGAAATAAAATTAATTCTCAGTATTTAGAAAACAGAGGAGTCTAAGCCTGATAAACAAAAGCCTGGGTAGGTGGCTAGTGGTTGGGTAAGTGGTAGGACTCTGTATGGTGAGGCTGAGAGCCCGTGTGAATCTGTGCATACTCTGGAATATCTTGGAGTTAGTCAATTCTCTATAACTATCTTTCCAAGACAGAAAAGTGGTCCAAGACATTCTTTCTTTGGTATTCATGCCCCAAAGTAAAATGTTCAATTAATCAGATATAATTTTTAAAAAAGAAATTTTTCCCCAACTTCAATAAGTATTAGCTAGAATTCCGAATCTCCTAGTATACACCTTCAAATGGAATCACTAAAGTGTATTGCCCTGTAAGTTTTTAAACAGAAATGAAACCATAAGGAAGACATCATTTAAGTTCCAGGAAACAGCATTTAAGTTAACTGTTTGGAAGTTTCTTACAGAAATGAGTTAAAAAAGAAACAACAACAAAAACAGGATTAGTGGTTTCAAAATAATTCATAAGCTATTAATAATTTCAGTATAATATTTAATTACATTATGTTAGCTTCAAAGTTAGAGTCTTATTGTATAATATTTTATTAAGCATAATTTGTTTAACTGCTGATGATAATTGTTCATATATAAAAGAATAAAAGGCCTTTAGAATTCAGTCCAACTAGTTCTGTTTCAGGCTTTACAGACAAAATTAAAGCTTTCCAACAACTTGATTTTTTTCCTCAAACAAAAGGTCTGACAGGTTTTTATACATTCAGAACAGAAAATTCACTTTGCATTCTAATTTGTTGGGGACATGCTCAATGTTCATTCTCTCTGTTAACATTACTTCTGATATAAAAATTCAAAATGATTGCACCTCTTATACTGAGGAATATTACTTGGTGAGTCAATAGATATAAATTTGGATAAAATTTAGATACAAAACCAGGGTCAGAATTGATCTTTGTTATTCCCTTTTGTTAACATTGTTGGAAAGTGGTGGGGTGATAAAAATGTCTGATATCTTAATACCATTTCTATTTGTCACCTGGTCACCAAGATATTATTCAAAATGGCATGCTAATTCTAAAAAATCTACTAAATCTGTTTTATGTGAGTCCTGGGAAGCCAAAAATTCAGGCATAACAAACTAAACAATAAGCAGTGTCTACCTAACATTTGTTGAATTTAGGACAAAAGCAAAATGTGTATGTTATTTTGTGATAAGAAAGCTTGCCAACTATCCCAATTTCCTTTTTTTTTTCTCAGCTCAGAGCATCGTATACATAATCAGCCAATAGATATTCATGGTCACATAATTACACACAACATTTCTTATTGTTTGTGTCCCAATCATCTAAGTTGCTTGCTAAAATGGAGTATCACAGACCCAGCCTAATTCAACACATTCAGTATTTCAGGTTAGAGTAAAGAACGCTCTATTTTCCAGTAAGTTTGGGGTCCACTGGGATAGACATATTAAAAAGAAAGTTTAGGCTTTGTTATAACTGACTGCTTCCCTCATTGGAACCCCTTCCCAACTTCTCTGATTATTACAAAAAAAAAAGGAGAGTTTCACATTGTTGATGCTCCTTCCAACTGCGTGTGGTGGTGGACATTCATTTGTTTTCACTCATTCTTGTTTTCTGACAATTGCATTGAGGACTTCACATTTTTCCAAATACTACTTTAGCTATATCACACAAATTTTGATGTGGAGTGCTTTTCATGGTTATTAAATTCTAAGTATTGTGCAGTGCTTCTGAAGGCTTCTTGATATGTAATTCAAAATGCTGTTTCAAACAGAAACCATTTTCAAATAGTGGTTAACAATAACTGAAATAATGTTATTGCTATAGCACCTCAAGTATGCTGGAGTTTAAATAAGGTTTTTGGCTGTTGTCTGCAATTCCAAAGACTAATCCACCCATGATTTTTATGGAACAATGAGCTAAAACTTAAAAAACAAGTATTTGTAAAAATGAATTCTTAAAATATACAAACATTTTAAAGTTGGTGACTTCCTACTTTGGTAATAACTGTCTTTATTGGAAAACACTATATAACATTGCAGCTCTAAGAATAGTCAAGATGCTGATTCTAGTCCTTCTCATAAATATTTTCTTTATTTATGTATATGAATATATCTTAACAAAAAAAGTGTTCAAAAATAACCTTTGCCAATTTCTCCCAAAGCAAAATATCCTGTTTTTCTTTTTGCATGCTTGACTTGCTAAGCCAACATAATGATTCACAAACCTAAATGGACAATAATAGTAATTCAGTGGCCTTCATTTCTCCTGGATTATTATTATTTTTTAATGTTTGAGGCAGGCTAGTAAGTGGCAAGTGAAGACATTTTTGAGCAGACCTACTCTCTCAATACTGGGCATGTTTTGTCAGTGGTTCCTTCAAGGGCAGAGAACAGAACCGAACAGAATTAGGCAAAAGATTTTCAAGAGTACTGATAATACTGACAGTAAGATAATCATATTTTAGAGTTCTCCTGGATAATAAACTTATAATCTGAAAGCTAGTCAATTAGACACAGACCCACTTTATTGAAAACCAGCCATATAGTAATAGTCACAATATAGTCACCATCTCCACTGGTAAACATCAGTTAATATCGAAACACGATCACATCTGACGTCCTCTAATCTCTGCACTGCTGACTCTCATAATCTGGTATGAGATGATCGATTTGCTTTTTCAAAGAAATCATTCCGTAAAATTCACTGTTCCCTTGCACTGGAAACAAAATTAATTCAACGTTTTGTTTCAAATATTAAATGATGGTTTCTTCCTTTTTTTTTGATGGAGACTCACTTTGTTGCCCAGGCTGGAATGCAGTGGCGCGATCTCGGCTCACTACAACCTCTGCGTCCTGGCTTCAGGCAATTCTCCTGCCTCAGCCTCCCAAGTAGCTGGGAATACAGGCACCCACCACCATACCTGGCTAATTTTTGTATTTTTACTAGAGACGGGTTTCACCACGTTGACCAGGTTGGTCTTGAACTTCTGTCCTCAGGTAATCTGCCCACCTCAGTCTCCCAAAGGGTTGGGATTATAGGTGTGAGCCACCATGCCTGGCTGGTTTCTTTCCTTTTATAATAGCCAAATTGCGTAACAATATGGTCCCCTATATTTTAAGGAGACTGTCTTATTTGGCTTGTTTACTGTGGTAAATGGAGTGTAGTTTTGTTTAAGAAAATCATTACGTAGGGAAATATAAATAGAACACACAGAAACAATCACACACATACACACTTAAGTACCATTGTCATAAAGCATCAATTCTCCTTTCAAATTAAAATCAAATATTAGAGGAAATTGTTTAAAGAATAAATGAGAAGTGAATGACATGTTAGTATGCCCCAGAGTTAAAGCTGTAAATATCGGCTTTAAAACTTGTTTCTACTTAGGAGTACTAGAAAATAAAAAATAAAGAGCCCAAAGTAACTTGTCCTTGGCAATAATTTATTTCTCTTTTCGAGGGGGTGTAGGGAGCAAACCTCAGTTTTCTGCAGGGAATTATTTTCTTTGGGAGATGTGTCTTCAAAAAAAAGTTCTGAAAGTCTGTATATACTGTTAAATACGCTATAGATTGAGACAGAAGACACAATCAATATGTTTATAAACCTTTGTCCATCATACTGAATATTTGATATTTACCCAGGGACATGGCTACATGATGAACATGCATATGGTTTCTGGGAAGAACAAAAATTATCTGTGGGCAGTGACGTGTAAGAGGCTGAAAGGGAAATTAAAAATTTCCGTTGGAGGGAGGCTCTGTTTTTTCATAAATTATTTATATGCAACTATTGAGATGCTTGCATGCATCATAATCAAGCAGGTTATATTATGGCTATTAGGACCACAAACCATGTATGACTGGTTGTACAAAAGATACCTAGAAATAAAAGATGAGGATCATCTAGAGTCTAAAATAGTCTCAGAATAATTCTTCCAGAAACATCTATGTGGACTTTTATATCTGGGTTTGGAGGAAAATGGCAGAATATATTAGCACATGTACCATTCACAATTTAATTCAGGTTTCTTTATCAGTTACTTAATAAGAAAGCAATCATGCACTTATCTTCTGATGTCTATACTGTCACTAAAAAATAATATTAAAAAATAAAACCTCAAAATAGGAAGTGAAGAGAGTTCTGTTTCATTGTCTATTAGAGGTTAAAAAAAATAATTCTACATATGTTCTCAATTCAGCCTCATAACCACCTAGGATTTAACTCTTGGTATTTCCATTATATAGGTAATAAAAAGGAGATACAGAAAAATAAACTGATAACTATAGTAAAGATAAAGGGGTAGTGACATCAATAAAAATGGTAAAGTACAGATCCACAAAAATCTTCCCCTCCACTAATGCAATAGAAACAAGGGCAAAAAAAAAGCAGAATCAACTTTTTCAGAATTCAGTTAGTTAACTAAAGACTTGTGGCAATCCATGGAGCATTAATTAAAAATACACATAAAAAACCCACTACATCTCAATAACAGTGAGCTTTGTAGCCATTTAACTAATTATATTCCTGTGTTTTTCTCCAAGGTCTGAAATAGCCACGAAAAACAAAAGCCAACAACCATGGTGATGACCACAAACTGTGCAGCCACGTGAAGGGACAAAAGAAAATTAGAATGCCTTCAACACTACATCACAAAGAATTGTCCTTATCTAACATTTCTGGTTCCCTGAAAGATCTCACTTGCAAGGAATCAAAGAGAGTTCCCAATGCCAGCAGATTTTTCCCAGGAACATTTGTGAAAAATGTGAAAAATCATAGTCTGAGGCAATTGTTGCACACTCTAGCTTCCTGAAGTGGTAGATAACAATTAGGGAAAACAATAGACTAAAAAATGCTTAGAAAGAAATTCTGGGGAACAAATGACTATGGAAGGCTTTGAACAGCACTAACATATTGCTGGTAGTCTTGAAGGTCATATGCATGCATAAGGCTGTTTGTATGCCCAGGGTTATGCTTATATTCACGAAAGACATGTGGATGGTCTAAGCTCCCACTTCTGGTTGATCTGAGGCTCTGCACAAGAATTAAGTGAAGGCTAAGATGAAGTTGTTAATTGTCTAGCTTAGTGTTAAAGGTGTGCCTCAACATTCATGCAGCAGAGTCTCTTAGCAAAGACTGGGAGACATACTGTTTCCAGACTTTGAAGAAAAACTTTGTCCAATCACTATCTGACCTCTAATCTAACTGAGCAGACTTCAGTGGCCACACAAAACAAAGAATAGACTTTGTAGAATTAGTTAATATTAGACAGTGAATAAGCAAAAACAACAACAGCAAACTATGGGAAAGTCAGATAGTTTAATTTCAAGAATTTATATCTTTTAATTGTATGCTTCCAGTTTTTAACAAAAAATTAATACAAAAACCAAAACACAAGCAAAGCAGAACAAAACAAAAACAAAAACCAATAAAAAAGTGTGTACAGAGAGAATAAAGCAGTCACTACAAATAGTCCCTAAAAAAGCCTAGATGAACAATGTACTAGACAAAGATTTTAAATAAGTTATTTCAAATATGATTAAAAGAAAGTATGAGAATTATGTCTCACCAAATACAGAATATCAACATAGAGACTGAAATTATACAAAAAAGAACCAAAGAGAAGTTCTGAAGTTAAAGTGTATCATAATCATGATGTAAAAATCACTAGAGAGGCTCAATAACACATTTGAGCACATAGAAGAACGAATCAATAAATAAATTTAGGATAGATCAATTGAGATTATCCAGTTTGATAAACAGAAAGAAAAGTACTTTCAGATGAATGCAAATGTAGAGAAAACATATCAAAATATACGTAATGTAGCTAAAGCAGTGTGTATATGGAAATTTGTAGTTGTAAATGCCTATACTAAAAAAAAAGGATTTCAAGTTAATAATCTAATCTTCTATCTTAAAATATTATATGAAAAATAGCAAAGTAAACCCAAAGCAAGCAGTAGAAAAAAGTAATGCATATTAGTTCAAAAATAAGTATAGGATACTAAAACAATACAAAAATTCAGCAAATCCAGTGTTGGTTTCTGTTTAGAACAGCAACAAAAAAAGGCAAATCATTAGCAAGGCTGACCAAAAAAAAAAAAAAAAAAAAAGAAAAAAAGAAAACAAAAAAGAGAGAAGACTTAAAAAGTCACGAGTGAAAGAATGGAAAGTATTAATAAAGATGCCAAGGTCATCCAATGAGAAATGAGCAGTTGTTTCAACAAATTATGCTGGGATAACTGGATAGCTATATGCAAAAGAATAAAATTGAACAATTAACTCATATATATGTGTGTATATATATGTATATATGTATATATATATGTATATGTATATATGTATATATATATATGTATATATATATACTCACTCAAATTGATTAAAGATCTAAGTGGAAGAGCTAAAATTATAAAACCCTTAGAAGAAAAAATAAGTATAAATCCTCATGAATTTGGTCTATGCAAGTAATATTAACAAAGTAAATCCAAGAGTATACTCATGTAAAACTTCCATAAACTAATAATGTTTTTAGATTTTATACTAGAATTACAAGAATGGTTAAAATTTCTAAATCCATTATTATAATACATTGCAAAGCCTAAAACAATGAAAAAATGCTTAATGTGTGAGGCACATTTTAAATAATATTAAGGACAGAAGATGAAAAAGACATCAGATGAAACAAAATTAAAAGTATAAAAGTATAAAAATATATACATTCTTAGAAAAATATTTTTTAAAACTGACTTGAAAGCAAATAGGATCTCTGGGAAAAAGAAATGGACTCTGTTTTAAATTATTAAATTAAAGAAAGAATAGGCTTAGGTTTATATAGTAAAGTTTTGTCTTTTTAGTGCACAGTTATTTGAGTTTTGACAATTACATACAGTTTTCACCGCCACTATCAAGAAAGAGAATGGTTCTAGCACTCAAAAAATTCCCTGTGCTGCACCTTTGTGATCAATCCACCTTCTACCTCAAACCTCTGACAACAACTGGTCTGTTTCCTCCTCCTATAATTTTGCCTTTTCCAGTATGTTTTATACATATAGAATTACACAGTGTGTACTCATAAGATTGGCCACTTTTACTTAGCATAAAGCATCTGAGATTCATCCACCTTGTTCTGAGCAATATTTTATCCCTCTTCACTGTTGAGTAGTATTCCTTTTTATGACTATACCATAGTTTGCCTATTTAAAAGTAGAAGGATGTTTAGATTTTTAAAGTTTTTGGTATTATAAAGGAGCTATAAACATTTGTGTTCAGATTTTTCTGTCTTCATTTCTGTTGGATAAAAAATTAGGAGTAGTATTGCTAGATCATGTGTTTAATTTAATGTTTACCTTTAAAAGATGCTGTATGCTTCTGTCCAAAGCAGCTGTATCATTTTTTATTCCAACCAGAAACACAGAAGAGCCACATTTGCTCCAAATTTTCAGAGGCACTTAGGTTGTTATGTCAGTATAAATTTATTTTGTCTTATTTACTTTTATTTATGTAAATGGAATGATATTGGTATCTCACTGAGGTTTCGTTTTGCATTTCCCTAATGGCTAATAATGTTGAGTATCTCTGCATGTGCTTTGTTGCCATCTGTATACCTTCTTTGGTAAAATGTATGTTCAAATCTTTTGCCTACTAAAAACATAGTTGTTATTTGTTTATATATTGAGTTTTAAAATTATATATATATACACACATATATATACACACATATATACATATATGACCAAAGAAACATATCTACATCCTATTTACAACAGAACCAAAGAAACATGATATTCCTATATATGATCCTAACAAAATATGTGCATAATGTATGCTAAAAATTACAAAACAACGATGAAAATGCAATCAAATAATATATAAATAGAGAATTAAACCATGTTCATGAATTGAAGCACCAAATGATGGGATGATGTTAAATATCTTCAATTGATGTATTGAGTCAGTGCAATATTGGCTTACCTTTATGTTTAATAAAATTATCCCAATAAATATATCAGCAGAATTTTTGTGAACATTAAGAAGCTGATTCAAAATATTTATGGAAATGCGAAAAAAAATCAGAAGAGTAAAAATTAATTTTAAAAAGATTATTTTATATATCTACAGAAAACAAGTACTTTACATATTTATTTCCAACTATTTTCTCCAAGTTTTAGCTTGTCTTTTTATTTCTTAATGAAATCTTTCAAAGGGCTTAATTATGATGAAGTACAGTTAACCTGAATTTTTATGGTATGAATTCTACTTTTGATGTTATATCTAAGAATATTTTGACTAATTTAATTGTATGATGATTGTCTTCTAGTATGTTTATAATTTTAGGTTTCATGTTTGTCACTAATGCATTATGAGTTAATTTTTAAATATTTGCATGCAAGGAATATGACAGTACTTTTAAAACATTGTGTGTGAACAACCAGTTTATCCAGAACTATTTGTTTACAAGACAATATTTTCTCCATTGAGTTTCTCTTGCACTTTTATGAAATACAAACTGACCATACTTATAAGTCAGCATTTTAATTCTGTATCCTGTTTCATTGATCTGTATGTCCAGACTTTTGCCATGATTAGTGGTTTTAGTTTTATAGTAAGTATTTATTTATTTTTTATTTATTTATTTATTTTTTTTTTAGATTTATTTACTTTTTTTTTAATTATACTTTAAGTTTTAGGGTACATGTGCACATTGTGCAGGTTAGTTACATATGTATACATGTGCCATGCTGGTGTGCTGCACCCACTAACGTGTCATCTAGCATTAGGTATATCTCCCAATGCTATCCCTCCCCCCTCCCCCAACCCCACCACGGTCCCCAGAGTGTGATATTCCCCTTCCTGTGTCCATGTGATCTCATTGTTCAATTCCCACCTATGAGTGAGAATATGCGGTGTTTGGTTTTTTGTTCTTGCGATAGTAAGTATTTAAATCAGATAGTATGAGTCCTCTAATATTATTCTTTTTTCAAAATGATTTTAACTCTTCTGTGTTTTTTGAATTTCCATAAATATTTTGAATCAGCTTGCTAATGTTCATAAGAATTCTGTTGATATTTTTATTATACATAAAGGTGAACACATATTATATTGCCTGTATATATCAATTGAAGATATTTGACATCCCATTATTAGGTCTTCTAATTCATGAACATGGTTTAATTATCTCCTTATTTATACATTCTTTAATTGCATTTTCATCATTGTTTTATAATTTTTAGCATACATTATGCACTTTTTTTAGATTTATGCATAAGTATATCATGTTTCTTTGATCCTGCTGTAAATGCTATCTTCAAATGTTCTTTGCTAGTATACATAAATGAAATTTATTTGTGTATATTGACACTGTATCATACAACCTTGGTAATCTCACTATTTGTAAGACTTTTTGTGAAAAAAACATCAAATTTTTAATGGAAAAATCATATCAAGTCATATCATATCATTATGAGTAGACAAAGTTAAGTAAACTTTTACTTTCCAATCTTTCATTACTTTACTGCATTGGCTAGGATATCCCATACAAGGTATTGCTGCTACATTTGTTATTTGACAAATAGGGCCCACACTTGTGTCAATTCTATGAGACAAAGGAGGGAAAAAGTAATGCAGATTCCTTCGGCATTCTTCAGGCCACAGGGCCTTTTTGCTAGTTCTTCTGGCCAGAAAGATTGAGTTTCTCTTTGAGTTTCAGTTGCCTGCTGCCTCTGCCACAGCTCTAGGGCTGAGAGTCCATCTTTAGGGCACAGCCAGGACAGAGAATAGAGGGATAAAAAGATACAAAGAATAATGGAGATTTTCTTCAAGCTCTGTATCTTTCACAGGCCCATTTTCCTGGGCCTCTGGCCAGAAAGATGGAGATTTATCCCTGAAATGTTGATGCCCACATATTCTAACAGCATGATTCCTTTCCCAACTTCCGGTCAGAGTTTTGTGAGAAATAATAAATAAATAAATAAATAAATAAATAAATAAATAAATGAACAATCTCTCTGTTTGTGCTACTTCTGGAAATTTTTACTTCCTTTCCAAATCTACCTCCTTCAGGATTTTCAACTGGTTGGCTTGTGTGTTGTCCAGATATTTAATTTTTATTTTTAATTAGTAAGAGGAATAGGATCCAGTGAGAGTACTCTATTTTGCTTAACTCCAGAAGAGTCTGATGCTTTTACAGAAAAATTCATACAAATATTCCAGAAAAAATATGCAAATCTTTAGTAATAATTTTAATAATAAAAACTTTAATAATAATCTTTTCCAATAATGTAGCTAGATATATTGTATAAAATGAGCATAAATACTTTTAACACATTGGTAAAAAATGTGTTTGGAAAGTTTTAAAGCACATTATAATTTTCTAAAACGGAGAAGGAGAAGGTGCAGAATGTGTTTGCATGCTTTTAAATTTTAAGTAGAGTACTATTTATACTAGGAACTTGATCCCAGGAGACTAGATCTTGAATAATTAATGTAACAAACATTTTATTTTAAAATAATTATGTGCATTTTGAATACAATTTTAATTGAGATTTTTCTTCATTTAATGGGGGTTTTCAGTAGCTTATGAATCTAATTAAAATTACTAAAATGTCCATGCTACCCAAAGTAATCTATAGATTCTATGTAATCCCTATCAAAATTCCAATGGCTTTTTTTCATAGAAATAGAACACACAATCCTAAAATTCATAGGGGAACCCCCCCACACACATACACACAATAGCCAAAGGAATCTTGAGCCAAAAGAACAAACCGGAGGCATCACACGTCCTGACTAACTAGATTACAAATATTTGGTAATCAAAATAGCATACACTGGCATATAATCAGATACATGGACCAGTGTAACAGAGTAGAGAGCCCAGAAAGGAATCCATTCATGTATCATCAGTTAATTTTTGATCAAGGTCCCAAGAATATGCAATGGGAAAAAGATGATCTCTTCAACAAACAGTGTTGGGAAAACTGATATTTATGTGCAGAAGAATGGATTTGGACCCTTATTTTACACCATATAGAAAAATAGACTCAAAATGGATTAGACTTAAACATGAGACCAGAAATCATAAAGCTAGAGAAAAACATAGGCCGAAAGCTATAAGATATAAATCTATGCAATGATTTTTTTAAAAAAATTGACCCTAGAGGTGCAGGCACAAAAATAAAAAAATAGACCAATGGAATTATACCAAACTAAAAGGCTTTGTCCAGCAAAATAAGCAGCTAATAGTGTGAAGAAAAAAAAACTACGGATTGGGAAAAAATATTTGTATGCCATACATCCAATAAGAGTTTAGTATCCAAAATATGTAAGGAGCTCAAATAACTCAATAGCAAGAAAAAAAAACTTGTTTAAAAAATGAACAATAGACCTGAATAGACATCTCTCAAAGGAAATCAGGCCAGGCATGGTGGCTTACACTTGCAATCCTAGCACTTTAAGAGGCTGAGGCGGGAAAATCGCTTGGGGTGAAGAGTTCGAGACCAGCCTGGCCAACATGGTGAAACCCCACCTCTACTAAAAATACAAAAATTAGCCTGGCATGGTGGCAGGTGCCTGTAGTCCCAGCTACTCAGGAGGCTGAGGCAGGAGAATCACTTGAACCTGGGAGGTGGAGGCTGCAGTGAGCTATCACATCACTGCACACTAGCATGGGCAACAGAGTAAGACTCCATCTCAAAAAAACAAAAAAATCATACAAATGGCCAACAGATATATTAAAAAATGTTCAGCATTGCTAATGATTATGGAAATACAAATTAAAACCACAATGAAATATGTTCTCACACCTGTCAGAATGGTGAGTATAAAAAATAGAAATGATAACAAGTGTTGATGAAGATGTGGAGAAAAGGGAGTCCTTGCATGTTATTGGCAGGAGTGTATATTAGCATGGCCATGGTAGAAAATTGTATTAAGGGACATCAAAAAATATAATTGCTATATGTTCCAATAATCCCACTTCTCTATATTTACCCGGAAAGATCTGAAATCAGTTTGTCAAAGAGACTTCTTCCCTCCCATTTTCATTGCCATACTATTCACGATGGCCAGTTATGGGATCAAGGTTATTTTCTATCAACAGATGAATGGATAAGTAAAGAATGGTATGCATGCACAATAGAATACTCCTCCACCTTAAGAAAGAAGGAAATTATATAATTTGTAATAACATGGGTGGAATTGAAGAATATTATGTTAAGTAAAATAAGCCAGGCAAAGAAAAATACCACATGTTCCCACAGGTAAAATCTAAAAAAGTCTTTGTCTAACTCATAAAAGCAGATAATAGAATGGTGGTTACAGAGCCTAGTGGATTGGGGGAATGGGGAGATGATAGTCAAAAAGAACAATACCTCAATTGGGAGGAATATGCTTTTTTTTTTTTTTAGTTCTATTACACAGCATGGTAAATATACTTGCTATAAAAATGTTAAGTATTTGAGATGATGGAAATGTTAATTGGCTTGATTTAATTATTTCACATTGTATTCATAAGTCATAACTTCATTTGCATAAATGTATACAATTATATATCATAAAATTTATACAATTATATATTGTCAATCTACAATAAGAATTCAGTGATTCCCACTATATATGTTTTAGTCGGGAAAAAAGAGACAAAAGGATCAGACAGGGCCAGCTGGTAATAACTGTGTAGAAATTTAAAGAGACTTGGGCTCAGTTAGTGGGGCTTTTACCTCCTCTCTGTGATCTTAGACTTGCTTCGAATATTGTCTTGGGCATTACTTCTATAAAATCTCAGCCAGATAGTTTCTCTTGCTCTACTTAATCACCACAAATTTTGGAAAATAATTTGCAACTGTGGGAGTCTCTGAGTGGAGTGAACATGACCAGAAGTTAAATGTGAAATGGATACTTACTTTCACTATGCACCCTTGAATCTTTTGAAACTTATAAAATGTATGTGTGTTTCTATTTAAAATTAAACTAACAACAACAAAAACCCTGATGGACGTTAAGAAATTAGCAAAATGTAGGGAGGTGAGAGGCAGATTGTGAGAGAGAATGAAAATAACTTGGGAAATAATTGACTAATTGTGTGGATATACCGGGCATGGGAGGGAAATTCAAGAAAGGGAATGTAAATAGAATATTTATAAACTTAACGATGGTGTAAAGTTTAAATAATGTGAACAGAAGCTTGGAAATCAGAACAGTTGCATGAATTGTCATATATACATATTCCTATAGAAATGAATAAAATAGTTTTCTATATCATAGCGTTTATAGTTCTTATGAGTGTTACATGAGCTAATTCATGCAACTATGGGCAATATCGTAATACTCGAGTGTTAGCTCTTATTACCATTACTATATGCACACATTAAGCATAATTAAATAAAGTTCTGCTGCTTCTGGGTTGGATTCATGTATGTAGAGTTGTTCCTGTGAAAAAATTGCTGGATGAAAACCATGATCAATAATTTTGAGCATCTGCCCTTCTTTTCTTTTTCTATCGTGGCGTCAGGATTGTGGTATTTTTCTCTTTGATTATCATTCATAGGGGACTCTCGAATTTAGTTTCTGTTCTTCAAAATAAGCACTGCCTTCTTTTTAAGGTACTCTAAAACTTCCGTTTTCCTATAAAAGTTTATATGTGAAGAACTATGCTTTAGAGCGAAGTAAACCTACACAAATTTCAAGTGTGGAATTAATTTTCTCTTCAATTTCTCTACCATATACTAAGACATTTGTGGAATACCGTATGAAAACTTTAAAAACTATATTTGCTAGTTACATATTGTTCCAAAAGTTTTAAGGCAAGTTTTTACTTGGAAACATAAATACCCACCACATAAAAATAACTTTAGTATATTTGTTGCTGTTTTTGTTGCTGCTGTGCGATTTATTGATATCAGAAAGCCTATTAGACTCCAACTTCCAAATTTAAAAAATCACTTTTCATTTTAACTTCTTCTCTTGAAAAATAAGGACATTCCTTACTAATTTTAAATCTGTTAAAACCATTGCTATTCTAGAGAGAAGGCAAAATCCTTGGGAATGTTTCTTATGGGAGGTGGAAGAATGTCAAGAGATCATTAATCTGGATCTTCAAATTTGTGGAGTGTGAGTTTGTATTTACCAGAAGTATTATAAAGTCAAAATTACTTCACAACTCCCCTGAAAGTAACTCTTTCCCCCAGTGTAATGATTAGGTCAAAAACTCCTGGAGAACAGAAAACCTATCTTATTCACTTTAAATCCCAGGACATGAGCATTGTGTTAGGTAGTGGGACTTTTATGTAATGCTGGTGATTATTTCTGATTTCCATTAGTGGTGGTTTTGAATTTAAAAGTCAAAGTAAATAATAATACAGCTGAATAAGCACCTTAGAAATATAATAAAAAATAATAAAAAGAATGGCAGTAGAAAAGGTTGGGACCACTCTTGGCTTTGAATTATGAAGGCATATGAAATAAATCACATAATTCTTAACACAGGCTTTCAAAGAGAGTATCACTTAAAATGCTATTTGTTTATGAATGTTCATTATATCTTGATACAGGATTGAGATGGGATATACTTATTAAAATGGAGATAGGGATTTACCTTTAAGAAAGAGAAGGTTAACAAGTTAGCTTAAAAAAATTTTTCACATTTTATCAAAGTAGAAATCTTATATGTAATGTATTATTTGATTTCTGTTCTCCGTAGTATGTAAAATATATGCTGCACACATTAAAACACATGATGGAAATATTTCTGACAAGTACAGTTTTATTAGCCTAAATATATTTATTGCAAATAATAAGCATTCTTGAAGATGCTTCTATAGAATCCAATAGTTCAATTATTGAACATTAAAATATAAGAGATTGATGTTGTTATGTGGCAATTGGCTTGAAACTACTATTATAAAATAAAGCATAATTTGATAATGACTGAGTCAGTGTACAATATAGATAAATGTATCTGGAGGCCATTTAATCCTGACCCTTCAAATTCTACTTCCATATTTGACTAATACTACTTGTCAAAAATATCTACTAGGATGATTTTTTTTTAAGCAAAGTGTGTCTTTATTGCAATCTCCATTGAAACAGAAAATCTGAAGATCTTGTAGCAAGGATGATTCCATTGGCTTCTAGTCAACAACCAACAGCAATGTGTATTTATATTATTGTATAGTAAATGCACATCAGCAAAGAAGTACAACTTATTTACTTTTCCTTTATTATATACTGGTGCTATTTGGATTCTTCATCTCAATGGCTCTGTATCTGATGCTAATGTCCCATGGGCATCATTTAAAGCGACAAGCCTAAAAATTATAGCTCTCCTTCTGTCTATCCCCATAACAGCTAAAGAATCCCACATCTGTTCCCCAGTTTTGCCTGATTAATAAAGATGTACAAAATAGGAATTATCTTCTCCCCCTCAATTGGAAAAGAAAAACAAGGGGATCAGGAAAACTAAACAAATTATCTATGAAACAGAATATTTTTTTATCAACTTAGTGCCAAGAGGAATTAGAACGTTGTTACCATATGGATAGCCTCTAATTTTGATGGTACATCATTTTCTTACAGTTGAAAGCATTCTTTTCTCTTCAATTTTGGAGATGAAAAGAAATACTATTTTCCTAAATTCACACGAATATAAATGGATTGTAGACCTGTGTTTGCCAGTGATCTGCAATAAAGCAATTATGCCTTCATACTGCTGAGCTCTGAATTCTAATTATTTGCCACACAAAAATTACTCTTTTTTTTTTTTTTTTTTTTTACTGATATAGATTCTATCTTAATGATTCTGAGTTTACTAAAATAGCATGGAGTTTGGTGTAAGGAAAGTAACCAGGAAAACACAAATGAAAAGAATTTTCTGGCCAAGCACGATGGCTTATGTCTGTAATCCCAGCCCTTTGGGAGGTCTAGGCGGGCAGATCACCTGAGGTCAGGAGTTCGAGACCAACCCAACCAACGTGTCTAACATGGTAAAAACCCATCTCTACCAAAAATACAAAAATTAGCCAGGCGTGGTGGTGCATGCCTGTAGTCCCAGCTACTCAGGAGGCTGAGGCAGGAAAATGGCTTGAACCCGGGAGACTGAGGTTGCAGTGAACTGAGATCATGCCACTGCATTCTAGCCTGGGCAACAAAGCAAGACTCCATCTCAAAAAATTTTTTTTTCCTTTATATTAATTCAAATATTATTTATTGAGTGCTTTTTATGTGTCAGGTATTAGATCAATGAACACAGAATTGAGTGGAGGAAATATTTTTGAAATACTTTGATTAGATTATTTTGCATAATATTAGATTTTATGGATTTCTCAGAATTTATGTACATAATGCCATAGTTAGGCTAATTTCAATTTCTGTTACCTCTACATACAACACAGCAGTGAATATAGTAAAATAGAAAACATTTATGTTCATTGCCCAACCATAAGCTCCTGGAAGGGTAATTTTCATTAAGTAGTATACAAATGTTTAAGACATTGGCATTTCCATACAATACTGTTAAGATTCACTTTTCATTGAGAAACATTTAACAGTATGTATACAATTACTGTCACCTTTTACAGCAATCTATCATTCTGTATACATGTCATGTTTAGCAATTTAAAAATGTTCTGGGATCTAGGTTATTCTACATTTGAATAAAAGGTATTCTTATAATTTATGACAAAGCAAGGAAAACTTTATGGGTTGTGGTTAGTGGAATAGATTGTTGATCTTCCTCAATAATTCAATACAAGTTTTATTGCAATTACAGAAATTGCACCAATAGCCAGAAACTAGTAGAGGAGCTATCAACATTGGCATTAGATTAGGGGCCCTGAGTTCTTTAGGTCCAAACAAATAGACACTGGGACACCTGCTTTCAACAGTGACAGCCAGAGACAAAGTACAAAGAGAACCCAGGATCTAATGTCGCTATAAGTGAGCGTGACATTTTATTATCCCTCCAATATTAGTGATTTTGTTTTGTTTATAAGCTAGTAAAACCACGTTTGTAAATAACTTAATTCCATTTTATACAGCCAAAATCTCTCATACTGTACATTTCAAATTACCACTGGACAATCGATAAAGTGAGGAGAGCAATGAATATTCCTAGGACCTCCCCCAAAATGATATGCAGAGGTTACTAAAAAATACAATAAAATCTTGATGGAGCAGATTATCAAAGGTATACATAGCACATAGGTTAAAGCTTTCAACTGAGCAGCTTATCACTGTACACAACAGTTTTTTTTTTTCAATTAGACTTCAGTTACAATAAAAAGAGGGAATAGAAGGAACAAGATGAATCTGGCTTCTCTTTCTTCAAAATGAGTAATGTGTTTTGTTTTCTGTTGTCAACTAATAGCATTGGTATTATCTATATTTTAAATTTTTTAGACAATTAACTGGAGCAAAAAAAAGTTATAATTTTTGTTTTGTTTTATAATTGAACAATAACACATGCAATACTACTAGGTTGCCAACACACGATGTTCTAACTCCAAGCCCAAAATTCTAAACCTTTGAAATTCTAGCCATCTGGAATTTTTAGCCTTTTAGCAACGGAAGGCTAAGTTCATCTATAAAAATCAGCCAATATTCATGTAATCTCATTAAGGACTGGCTGACATATCTGCTAAGCTGGAGACTGAGATTTGGTGACAGTTCACATTAAGATGAATTGAGTTTGTAAGATGTAATTTTTACTGAAGTACAAGTGCATAAATATCTAAATTCTAAGCTTAATGCTCAGCACAGTAAATTGAGGAAATGTAAGTGGAACTCCATTATAAAGCATTCACTTCTAAATATGCCCAGTTTTCTAGGGGAGAAATGGGTGTATTTGTGCAAAGTCATCCTTTGGTATCCATGGGGGAATGGTTTCAGCACCCCTAGCTGATACCATTATCCATGAATGCTCAAGTCCCTTATATAAAGTGACATAGTGTGTATAATCTATGCACATCTTCCTGTTACACTTTACATCATCTCTAGGTTACTTACAATATATAATACAATGTAAATGGTATGTAAGCAGTTGTTATACTGTTTTTTAATTTGCTTTATTTTCTATTATCATATTTTTATTAATTAGATTTTCAATGCAATCCTAGTTAAAATCTCAGAATTTCAGGAAATTGTTTTGTGGATACTAACAAACTGATTTTAAAGTTTATATGGAGAAGAAAAAAAATACCACCCCAGAACAGCTAACACAATATTGAAAGAGAACAAAGCAAAAAGACTGACATTACCCAATTTCAAAACTTGCTATAAAACTACAGTAATCAAGACAGTGTGGTATTGGTGATGAAACAGACAAATAGATCACGTAGAATAGAGAACTAAGAAACAGATTCACGTAAATATGGTTAACTGATCTTTGACAAAGGAGAAAATGCAACACAACAGAGAGATACAAAAGCAATACAATACTATCATCTCTTTAATAAATTGTGCTGGATCTGAACACCCACATGAAAAAATATAAATTTATATACACATAATCCTCAAAAATTAACTCAAAATGTTTCATAGATCTAAATATAAAATTCATAACTACAAAACTTCTAGAAGAACAAAGGAGAAATTCTAGATGTTCTTGGCTTCGGCAATGGCTTTTAAAATTCAACACAAAGACATGACTCATGAAAAATGTAATTGATAAGCTGAACACCATTAAAATTAAAAGGTTCTGGTCTGAAAACCCTTTTAAGTCGTACATCGAAACAAAATATTTGCAACATACATATTTGATAATGGGTTGTTAGCTGAAATATACAAAGAACACTTAAAACTCAACAATAAGAAAATTAACAAGATTTAAAAATTGACAAAATACCTCAATATTTAGCTCACTAAAGAAGTTATATAGATGGCAGAAAAAGCATCTGAAAAGATAATACACATTATTTGTCATTAGGGAATTGTAAGTTAAAACAACAAGATGCCATTACCCACCTACTAGAACAGTCGAAATCCAAAATAGTAACACCAAATCCTGAGGAAGATAAGAGAGGAAAAGGAACTCTCACTATTGCTGATAGGAATAAAAGAGAGTAATTCATTTACAATGGAAAATGACTTGGCAGTTTCTGAAGAAAGTAAGCATACCCATACCATAGGATCCAGTAATTGTGCTTCTTGGTATTTACTCAAATGAGTTGAAAACTTGTGTCCACATGAACACTGGCACATGGATGTTTATAAGAGGTTTATTTGTAAGAGCCAAAACTTAGAAGCAATAAAGGTGTCCTTTAGTGTGGGAATGGATAAACTGTGGTACATCCAGAAAATTGAATATTATTCAGCACTGAAAAGAAATAAGCTATCAAGTCAGAAAAAGACAGGGAGGAAACTTATATATGCATATTACCAAGTGAAAGAAGCCAATCTGAAAACACTACACACTGTGTGATACCAACTATATAGCATTCTGGAAAAGGCAAAATGATGAAGACAGTAAAAGGGTCAGTGGTTACCAGGGTTTGGAGGAAAGGAGGGATGAATAAACAAAGCATAGAAGAGTTTTAGGGCAGTGAAACTATTCTGTATAGTGCCATAAGGCTGTATACATTTCATTGTATGTTTGTTTAAGCCACAGAATGCATAAGACCAAGAGTGAACCCAATGCAAACTATGCACTTTGGGTAACAATGATGTGTCAATGTGGTTTTGTCAATTGTAACAAACTTACCAGTATGGCGAGAGATGTTAATAGTAGAAGAAATTATGCATGTGATGGTGCAGGGGTTATATGGGAACTCTGTACTTTCTGCTCAATTTTTCTGTGAATCTAAAGCTGCTCCTAAAAATAGTCTATTTAAAAGGGAGAAAAAGTGAAACAAAGAAACTAAAACAAAAATTTTAAAAATAAATTTTAAAAGTCAACACTCACGTATTATAAAACCTCATAGCAAAGTAAAACTAGAAAAATATCTCTAATCTAATATTTTAAAATTTAAGCTAATATATTTCACTTAACAAATGTTGTTTTTAATAGTCAATTAAAGAGAAGTAGTCCTAAGACTCCCTTAATACAAGAGATTCTGACAATTTCTGATTTCACAACACCCTTAGAGTCTTAGTATTTTTTCACCTCATGCCAGGCCAAAGGAAATACCTAAAATAAACATTATAATGTTACTAGATATTTAAGGCCAAATTATAAGTATTTATACTCTAAAACCTAATAGTAATTTGAAAAACATAATTCACATAAATTGAAAGAAAGTCCTTATGTCTATCTTAAAGACCACAATTACAGAATATATATACTGCATATATATATACAGTATATATATATATACTGCATATATATATACAGTATATATATATATACTGCATATATATATATACAGTATATATATACTGCATATATATATGCAGTATATATATATACTGTATATATATATACAGTATATATATATACTGCATATATATATATAAAATAGGTCCCACATAAGGTTTCAAATCTTGAAACCAGATTTTATGTAAAAAAAAAATATATATATAAAATCTACAGTAATCAAGACAGTGTGGTATTGGTGATGAAACAGACAAATAGATCATGTAGAATAGACAGCTAAGATACATATATCATATATATGTCATATATATGATATTTATCACACATATATGATATATACGATATATATGACATATATATGACATATACGACATATATCATATATATGATATATATGACATATACCATATATATCATATATATGATATATATGGTATACGTATACCATATATATCATATATATCATATATATGGTATACGTATACCATATATATCATATATATCATATATATGATATACGTATACCATATATATCATATATATCATATATATGATATACGTATACCATATATATCATATATATGATATACGTATACCATATATATCATATATATCATATACGTATACCATATATATCATATATATCATATATATCATATACGTATACCATATATATCATATATATCATATATATGATATATATCATATATATCATATATATCATATATATGATATATATGATATATATGATATATATCATATATATCATATATATCATATATATGATATACGTATACCATATATATCATATATATCATATATGTATACCATATGTATATGATAGTCCCACATAATTTTTCAAATCTTGAAACCAGATTAGATATCACTAATCACATTTGTTGTTCCACACAGATTTTTGACATTTTACTTTTGTTGTTGGTGTGGTTAATCATGGCGACAACAGAAATTCTGAATTATTAAAGACACGTTGGTATCAAAGGAATGTAACCTAATTTAATATTGAAGCAGAGAAGAATATCAAACTAGTTGTGTATGAAATATTCAAAATATCTCAAGTTTTGCTGTGTTTCCTATGAAAATTTAAAATATTGTGTGTTGCTTTGGGTAGCTCAGTAAACCATTATGGATTGATGACCGTATATTCCTCACAAGATTTTTTAGTACGAACATTTTACAAAAGTTGCTTTATAGTTCCACAAAGGCATATAAATGCACTTTTGAAATATATCAGACAGATGGTTAGGAGGTATGTTATTTTAAATATTAATACATTATTATCTAGTAAACTCAAATGGAATATTTTAGTTTGCAACTGCATCAAGTTTTTTAAAATTATTATTTACTGTTAGATCAAAATCCAGTAATTTGCTAAATACTGAATCATACACACAAACAGATGCACACATAAGTTATATGCATGTATGTGCATGTATCTGCATGTGTGTATGTTTATATATATGTATATAATTTTTACTTTTAACTCCAGCTCATTCTAGGTTATTAAATCAAATACATTTAATAAGGCAAGCAAAAAAGACATCTTGCTCCCCAAGACATAAAGCAAACAAATCAATAAAACCATAAAACAATAAAAATTTGAGTCACTGTTTACTAATATAAAATCACATCTGCTTCTGTAATAAAACAATGTAAAATTTTCTTTAGAAATATGCAAATAGGTCAAACAGTAAAGAGTTTGAAAATGTCCTGTGAGTTCTTTTTGAAATCCAAAAATTGTCCTTCTATAAAATTTAAGCTCAGTTGTGACAGAGCGTTGGCTTGCTAAATGACCCAGAGAAATCTCCCAGGCAGGACGTTAAGGCAGAAGATAACTGCCTGGGCCTTCTCTCCCCCTGATCAACAGGTACCTTTATTACTAGTTAATGCTCTTGCTATTCATGTAAGACACAGGAAAAGGCAAGCCTGATTACCACTGCTATGTTTGGAGCCTGAATCTAAGTGACCACTCTTCATTGTGAGTTTATGAAATCTTTAAGAGAAGTTGTGAAAGAATGTAATAAATTTGAGAAATAAAACTGTCTCAAGCACCCCATAGATCCCAGTGGATGTAATTTCACAGAACTGAGTTACTGCCCAGGACAGCTAAGACATTCTTAATGCTTCTATGGCTAGCCCAAGATTCGCTGATTTACAGTCCTAGAGGGAATAAAGTCTTCTGGTTAATGCAATGAGGAAGAGACAAAAGCTACATAAAAAATTCGTGATTTAATTAATATAGTGTTGTCTGACTTTCTGAATATCTCAGAAACTTATATCACTAGACATGGAGCTCTTATTTCAATGATTCAAATAGCACCAATGTCAGATAATATCAAATCAAAGTGAAATATTTTAAAGATACTGCAAAGAACAAAAGGAAGTTCTGTTGATTCCTTTAGATATTTTTGGATGTCTGAATGCACAAACCTAACTGCAAATTTATCTTTTAAGCTGAAGTTCACTTATAATTGTATCAGAAACCATAAGCTTTCTGCCATGTTATGGAATTAATGTAAAAAACCTAAGTTATTAATTCCAAAAATATACAACAAAATGTTCACTTCTCGATGAATAGTAATTGATGTTTTTACATTAATTATTCATGTACATATATCCTCCAATATTTTGAAGGACACCAATATGTTACTAGAAATTGGTTTTGGCTACTAATCCAAAACTTACTACTCTATTTTTTAACTTGATTATATTAGTTCTTTTCAATTCTCTGTGTTCATCAGTAACATATTCAGTATTCAGGGAGACACACGATTCATTCTCTCTTTGAGAATCCTTTGTCTTTCCTGACCTGGCATAGTAAAGATGGTGAATTCCATGCTGCAAAGACACTAGCTTCTCATAATCTTATATTACTTATCAATTGTGTTCAAAACCTCCTGACTTGATATGTGTGCAAGCTGCTACATTATCTATTTATTATATTATCTTTTGCAGACACATACACTTATTTTATGTCCATAGTCCCATCTTTCTGTCCAGCCTGTAACCTTGGAGTGTTGACTTTCCATGTCCTCTAAGAACTGCATACTCATTTGAATGGCATAGACACCCCTTGCTCCGTGTACATTTTTCACCTACCCTAGCTTGGACTCTGGGGAATTAAATTTACTCTAAGTGCTGTCAGAGATCCCTGAGGAGTTCATCTTAGTTCTAGTATAGCGTTTAAATGGCTATTTTTGATGAATTAAATATTTCCTACTTGAATTTATTTCATACTTTAATTTTTCAATGGAAATGAAAATATCTTGCCTGTTTTCAACAGCTTAAGGAATAAAAGGCCCAATTGTGATGATTTTATTTAAATAATTATGATATGAATAGAACATCATTTCATCCTATTATACTTATTATGCTATAGTAAACCAACTCATTCTATCCTTTTAACAGTATTGTGAACTGTCATTGTCAGCATGCCTTTTTATGTGCAGACCATAACTGGATTTGCCTTGTGCTTGTACATGGGAATCATACTGGCCCAAACTTCTTAATGTTCTGTGAGAATTCCAAACTTCCAAATTTTTTGTTAATCCTGGGGACTTGTTGATTAATAACACTAACTGCTCTAAGTCTCTGCTTCTGCAGAATTCATTCTATTCACCATGCAGTTTATCCCATTTATCATTCCCAGTCACCTAACTCAACACTAGCAAAAGCCCTGTACTCTCTAAAATTAATGAAAAGCAAAGATTATTTGAGCGTGAGTGACTGTGGAAACTCTAAAGAAATGAAATGGAATTCTATTTCAATTTAATAATTTTCTTCTTGATAGGATTTTTCATTGCTGTATAATACTCATTGCTGCAAAATACTCATTGCTGCAGTATTCTCATTGCTGCAAAAGGCGGAAAATATCTTAGGAAAATAATAGGGAATTTATCTCGATGTTAGACAATGTGTATTATAAAAAGTACATGCTTATGAAAAAGAATCAAGTCTTTGAATGTAAAATTTGATTCAATTTCTAGATATAAAAATTAAATCTACCCTAACTGAACAGTTTTCACTTGGAAAAAAAATAAATCTTAGATAATTCTTACTCTTAAAAAACCTCAAGTCAATTCACCATTGAAAGGATCTCACTGGCTATCTTTCTCCATGGGTGAGTTCCAATCTCGTCTAATCATTCTAAAATAATATTGAATAGCTACTCTGTGCAAGATGCTATACTAGAGCTTTAGATAATTTGATGAATAAAATAAACATGAACTGTACTCTAATGGAAGTTACATTCTAGTGGAGGAAAATAAAAAATCAAGTAGACAATCATGTAATAATATTTTATGTGAGAATAAATGCAATGGCAAATGAATAAGGACAGTGAATACAAACATATGAGGGGTCATCTTTCTATACAGTTTAGGACTTTAATTCTGTGTTCTCCTTCCTTTCTTGCTCTATAACTCTCTGTTACATACATTTTTGAGAAAATTTTATAATAACTGGTTGGATGTATATTAGGATTTTTGTCTGTCCAGTCTATTTTTTTTTGACATTTCAATTCCCTGAAGTAAATAATCAGGGTTTGTTCTAAAATAGAAGTACTTGTGTCTGCTAGAAATCTTAAGTGACAACCCTCAAATTACATTTTGTTTTGTTCACACCTACATTTATGGAAGGAAACTGAAGAAGCATTTTAAGTGGGTACTTGTTAGTAGGGTTATTGGGCAATATTCTTCTTCTTTCTTTCTTTCTTTTTTCTTTTTCTTGTTTTTTCTTTTTTGCAAAACAACAGACGTTTATTTTCTGGAATCTAGAAGTTCAAGATAGAGGTGCATCAAGATTGGTTTCTGGTGAGGCTTCTATAAAAGTCAAATAAAATAGGGGGACAAATCCATAAAATTAAAATGCTTTATTTGAGAAGAATGAATTACAATTTGGGGCATACACTGTAAACTGGCTTGTCTTTAGTATGTCCAAAGAACAATGAGAAGTTTAGTGGTATTACAAAAAGAAGAAATGTTATGCACTACTTTTTGAGAAAGTTGCAGGGAGTTGGCAAGTCCTGAATGATAAGTGACAGTGGTGGGAAGAACTAGTCTTTTTTTTTTTTTCCTTTTTTTTTTTTTTTTTTTTTATTATACTCTAAGTTTTAGGGTACATGTGCACATTGTGCAGGTTAGTTACATATGTATACATGTGCCATGCTGGTGCGCTGCACCCACTAACGTGTCATCTAGCATTAGGTATATCTCCCAATGCTATCCCTCCCCCCTCCCCCGACCCCACCACAGTCCCCAGAGTGTGATATTCCCCTTCCTGTGTCCATGTGATCTCATTGTTCAATTCCCACCTATGAGTGAGAATATGCGGTGTTTGGTTTTTTGTTCTTGTGATAGTTTACTGAGAATGATGGTTTCCAATTTCATCCATGTCCCTACAAAGGACATGAACTCATCATTTTTTATGGCTGTATAGTATTCCATGGTGTATATGTGCCACATTTTCTTAATCCAGTCTATCATTGTTGGACATTTGGGTTGGTTCCAAGTCTTTGCTATTGTGAATAGTGCCGCAATAAACATACGTGTGCATGTGTCTTTATAGCAGCATGATTTATAGTCCTTTGGGTATATATCCAGTAATGGGATGGCTGGGTCAAATGGTATTTCTAGTTCTAGATCCCTGAGGAATCGCCACACTGACTTCCACAATGGTTGAACTAGTTTACAGTCCCACCAACAGTGTAAAAGTGTTCCTATTTCTCCACATCCTCTCCAGCACCTGTTGTTTCCTGACTTTTTAATGATTGCCATTCTAACTGGTGTGAGATGATATCTCATAGTGGTTTTGATTTGCATTTCTCTGATGGCCAGTGATGATGAGCATTTCTTCATGTGTTTGTTGGCTGCATAAATGTCTTCTTTTGAGAAGTGTCTGTTCATGTCCTTCGCCCACTTTTTGATGGGGTTGTTTGTTTTTTTCTTGTAAATTTGTTTGAGTTCATTGTAGATTCTGGATATTAGCCCTTTGTCAGATGAGTAGGTTGCGAAAATTTTCTCCCATGTTGTAGGTTGCCTGTTCACTCTGATGGTAGTTTCTTTTGCTGTGCAGAAGCTCTTTAGTTTAATTAGATCCCATTTGTCAATTTTGGCTTTTGTTGCCATTGCTTTTGGTGTTTTGGACATGAAGTCCTTGCCCACGCCTATGTCCTGAATGGTAATGCCTAGGTTTTCTTCTAGGGTTTTTATGGTTTTAGGTCTAACGTTTAAATCTTTAATCCATCTTGAATTGATTTTTGTATAAGGTGTAAGGAAGGGATCCAGTTTCAGCTTTCTACATATGGCTAGCCAGTTTTCCCAGCATATGGCTAGCCAGTTTTCCCAGCACCATTTATTAAATAGGGAATCCTTTCCCCATTGCTTGTTTTTCTCAGGTTTGTCAAAGATCAGATAGTTGTAGATACGCGGCATTATTTCTGAGGGCTCTGTTCTGTTCCATTGATCTATATCTCTGTTTTGGTACCAGTACCATGCTGTTTTGGTTACTGTAGCCTTGTAGTATAGTTTGAAGTCAGGTAGTGTGATGCCTCCAGCTTTGTTCTTTTGGCTTAGGATTGACTTGGCAATGCGGGCTCTTTTTTGGTTCCATATGAACTTTAAAGTAGTTTTTTCCAATTCTGTGAAGAAAGTCATTGGTAGCTTGATGGGGATGGCATTGAATCTGTAAATTACCTTGGGCAGTATGGCCATTTTCACAATATTGATTCTTCCTACCCATGAGCATGGAATGTTCTTCCATTTGTTTGTGTCCTCTTTTATTTCCTTGAGCAGTGGTTTGTAGTTCTCCTTGAAGAGGTCCTTCACATCCCTTGTAAGTTGGATTCCTAGGTATTTTATTCTCTTTGAAGCAATTGTGAATGGGAGTTCACTCATGATTTGGCTCTCTGTTTGTCTGTTGTTGGTGTATAAGAATGCTTGTGATTTTTGTACATTGATTTTGTATCCTGAGACTTTGCTGAAGTTGCTTATCAGCTTAAGGAGATTTTGGGCTGAGACAATGGGGTTTTCTAGATAAACAATCATGTCGTCTGCAAACAGGGACAATTTGACTTCCTCTTTTCCTAATTGAATACCCTTTATTTCCTTCTCCTGCCTGATTGCCCTGGCCAGAACTTCCAACACTATGTTGAATAGGAGCGGTGAGAGAGGGCATCCCTGTCTTGTGCCAGTTTTCAAAGGGAATGCTTCCAGTTTTTGCCCATTCAGTATGATATTGGCTGTGGGTTTGTCATAGATAGCTCTTATTATTTTGAAATACGTCCCATCAATACCTAATTTATTGAGAGTTTTTAGCATGAAGGGTTGTTGAATTTTGTCAAAGGCTTTTTCTGCATCTATTGAGATAATCATGTGGTTTTTGTCTTTGGCTCTGTTTATATGCTGGATTACATTTATTGATTTGCGTATATTGAACCAGCCTTGCATCCCAGGGATGAAGCCCACTTGATCATGGTGGATAAGCTTTTTGATGTGCTGCTGGATTCGGTTTGCCAGTATTTTATTGAGGATTTTTGCATCAATGTTCATCAAGGATATTGGTCTAAAATTCTCTTTTTTGGTTGTGTCTCTGCCCGGCTTTGGTATCAGAATGATGCTGGCCTCATAAAATGAGTTAGGGAGGATTCCCTCTTTTTCTATTGATTGGAATAGTTTCAGAAGGAATGGTACCAGTTCCTCCTTGTACCTCTGGTAGAATTCGGCTGTGAATCCATCTGGTCCTGGACTCTTTTTGGTTGGAAGATCTACCAAGCCAATGGAAAACAAAAAAAGGCAGGGGTTGCAATCCTAGTCTCTGATAAAACAGACTTTAAACCAACAAAGATCAAAAGAGACAAAGAAGGCCATTACATAATGGTAAAGGGATCAATTCAACAAGAGGAGCTAACTATCCTAAATATTTATGCACCCAATACAGGAGCACCCAGGTTCATAAAGCAAGTCCTGAGTGACCTACAAAGAGACTTAGACTCCCACACATTAATAATGGGAGACTTTAACACCCCACTGTCAACATTAGACAGATCAACGAGACAGAAAGTCAACAAGGATACCCAGGAATTGAACTCAGCTCTGCACCAAGCAGACCTAATAGACATCTACAGAACTCTCCACCCCAAATCAACAGAATATACATTTTTTTCAGCACCACACCACACCTATTCCAAAATTGACCACATAGTTGGAAGTAAAGCTCTCCTCAGCAAATGTAAAAGAACAGAAATTATAACAAACTATCTCTCAGACCACAGTGCAATCAAACTAGAACTCAGGATTAAGAATCTCACTCAAAGCCGCTCAACTACATGGAAACTGAACAACCTGCTCCTGAATGACTACTGGGTACATAACGAAATGAAGACAGAAATAAAGATGTTCTTTGAAACCAACGAGAACAAAGACACCACATACCAGAATCTCTGGGACGCATTCAAAGCAGTGTGTAGAGGGAAATTTATAGCACTAAATGCCTACAAGAGAAAGCAGGAAAGATCCAAAATTGACACCCTAACATCACAATTAAAAGAACTAGAAAAGCAAGAGCAAACACATTCAAAAGCTAGCAGAAGGCAAGAAATAACTAAAATCAGAGCAGAACTGAAGGAAATAGAGACACAAAAAGCCCTTCAAAAAATCAATGAATCCAGGAGCTGGTTTTTTGAAAGGATCAACAAAATTGATAGACCGCTAGCAAGACTAATAAAGAAAAAAAGAGAGAAGAATCAAATAGACACAATAAAAAATGATAAAGGGGATATCACCACCGATCCCACAGAAATACAAACTACCATCAGAGAATACTACAAACACCTCTACGCAAATAAACTAGAAAATCTAGAAGAAGTGGATACATTCCTCGACACATACACTCTCCCAAGACTAAACCAGGAAGAAGTTGAATCTCTGAATAGACCAATAACAGGCTCTGAAATTTTTTTTTCCTTTTACTTTAAGAGGCTTTGGCCAATATGACTCCCATGTACTTCAAGAAACTGAGGGAGCTGGCATGGTGGCGCATGCCTGTAATCCCAGCTACTCAAGAGGCTGAGGCAGGAGAATCGCTTGAACTTGGGAGGTGGAGGGTGCAGTGAGCCAAGATTACACCACTGAGCTCCTGCCTGGGTAACAGAGCAAGACTCCGTCTCAAAAGAATAATAATAAATTAAATAATAAAAATAAAGCATATATATGGCTTTAAAAATTTAATGGACTTGAATGATTTTTTAAAATTTCAATTCTAAGATGGCATCAACTATAAGATACATAATTGATTTAATACAATATTTTTGAAGAATATAATTCAATGGACACATTGATTTCAATGCTCACCCATATTCAGACATTAGAAAAATGGTGTATCTTAAAATAAATGATTTTTTAATTTAATATTTGTGTGTGTTTTCAAATAACTTCAACTTGTGAGATGGCAATGGAAAAAAGGGAAAGAAAGAAAACAAAAAAAACAAAAAAACAAAAATCCCAGAGAAGAAAATGTCACAACCCACATACTAGAGAATACTCTCAACAACCATACTGGATAATATTGAAAAATATTTAGTTTATCAAACGACAAAGTTTGTTTTTATGTGTTCTTTAGCTCTGGCAGATAAAAAAAAGGGTTACTTCTTTACAAAAAGAATGGTTGGTCAACTTTTAAAGTTCACAATGCAAAGGAAACACAAAAAGGTAAAAATTATTAAGATACAGTTACAACATGAATATAATGATGAGGGTTTAATAAGGTTTATATGATTAAAAATTTTACATGAGCTTATAATTTTTAAATAAATTACATTCCAAAAATGTATGTTTATTACAACAGCTTCTGTTAACTCACTCCCTAAATATTAATAACAAGTGACTTTAGTTTTACTGAATTTTAATTAACTTTCCTCACTTAATATTGCCTGACACTATGGTTCAAACTCATTCTATGAATAATTTTGTTAAAGATAGAAAGTAAAGATCTTTATTTGCAAGTTGGAACAGCTTAAATAGTTCAATGGATTTCAAATACCATTTAAGAAAAAATTAATTAGTAACTGAAACTATTAGATATAATTTGAAATGCTTGACAGATAATAAGACTTTTCTATGTCATATTATATATGATAAAGTAAAAATATTTCTATGATAATACGAATATTTAAGCTTTCTTTGTCATTTAATTGCCTGAAGTCATTCGACTACTGCTCATTTTTACACTATTTTTTTGTAATTGTGTAATTACAAATAATTACACAAAATTATTTGAAGTCCCTTTACAAGGTACCATCATCTCTCCCACCTACCACAAATTCAACAAAATGACATAAGGTACGTAACAGTACTCATAAATTCAAATCATTCAAGGTAATGAAAAGACGGACCCTTTGAGGAACTGGAAATTATAAGAATGGCTTAGAGGCAAAAAAAAAAAAGGACAAAAGCAGCCATAAAATTATTTCAAAGAATAATGCTGCAAATGCTGGGAATGCCACCAAAATAACGTTTCATAACTTAATATACCAAATGCTTAAACAAACTGACAAAACCAAAAAATACAAAACACCACCATGTTTAGTTCATGGGCCCTTTGTTTGGAAGTGGCTTCAGCTCAGCACTCTGACCCACCTGTGAGTGCTAGAGATAGGAGTTGCCTGCCCTCAGAAAGTAACACTGAGCGGGAGGCACAGCTTGTCAAACTGAGAACTCAGAAATATTTAAATTCAGACTTGCTTTGCCCGCACTTACTGAAGACAAAGGCAAGAGCCAGCAGCTCATGGTGCTTCATCTTAAACTTTACCTCAAATAACTTGCTCAAGTATATACGGTGGGGAATCAGAGGAAATCCTGACAAATTTGATTGTATTACAGAAGCAGGGCAAACTATAAAAGCCAAGAAAATATATATATCTAATATATAAAAGAGAGAATGTAAGAGAGAATAGAATTTTAATAGAGATAATAATTAAACTCTCTGAAGTCCATAATAAAAGTCTTAAGTAACTGAAGTGATATATTATGCTCCTTGGTTTCAAAAAAATTAATATAATACCTATAAAATTTATTCAAATTAATAAGTAAATTAATGTATGTCAATAAAAACTTTACCACGATTTCTGTGAAGTTTCACAATTAAAATAAAAACATTAGTTTACAAAAAATTTTTTAAAAATTGGAAAAAGCAACTACAAAAAGGGTGGACATTTCCTATTACAGTATTTTACAGCTATAGTAATTAAAATACTGTGATGTTATAATGGCAGGTATGTAAATGCAATATAAAAAATGTATCAGAACCTAAATTGTGTAGTTAAAGAAGTGAGAATAAATTAATGTGGCATTTCAAATGAGTGGGGAGAAATTGAATAAAAATAAATGGTGTGGAAATAATTGACTATAGATATAAAAAATAATACAGATAGATCCATATCACCCATAACTCAAAAACCCCAAATACAGGGTATAAATGAAATCATATTAAATAATTATGTTGTAAACTTCAAATATAGGGTATAAATGAAATCATATTAAATATGTTGTATTTTACATATATATACACACATGTACATAGAAAGAGAAAGAGGAAAAGAAAACACAATGTAATCTGGTTATACCCTTGTCTTAGACAAGGTTTATTAAACGAGACGTAAAAAATGAACACTATAGGAGAAATAATGATAAATTAAAATACAGAAAGGTATGGATACACACATAGCCATATACATTTGCAAACTAGATAACAGAAAACATTGGAATCAAAATTATTAAAACAGTCTCCTATGAATTTATAATTCTTATTTCCATCTATACATTAAAAACATATACTAAATAGGTTAATTAAGCATTATTTATAATAACACAAATTAGAAATAACCCTAGATCTCTTTAATTGGGGCAATGGCTACTTTTAAATTTATTTATAATTATATTACACATAAAGTGACATTCATATACAGTAGCATAAAACATGAGATTGATTAATATATATTGATATAAAATGGCATCCAGCAAAATTAAGAAAAAAGGGAAGGCAAACTGCAAAACAACATATGCTTGATTATATAATTTATGTAAAAACAAATATAACATAGTTCCAAACATATATCTGATATCGTTTGACTGTGTCCCCACACAAATCTCACCTTGAATTGTAATAATCACCACAATGTCAAGGGCAGGGCCAGGTGGAGATAATTGAATTATGGGGCGGTTTTCCCCATACTGTTCTTGTGGTTGTAAATAAGTCTTAGGAGATCTTATGATTATATAAATGGGAGTTCCCCTATACAAACTATCTTATCTGCTGCCACGTAAAATGTGACTTTGCTCCTCCTTTGCCTTTGGCCATGATTGTAAGGCCTCCCCAGCCATGTGGAACTGTGAGTCAATTAAACTTCTTTCCTTTATAAATTACCAAGTCTCAGGTATGTCTTTATTAGAAGTGCAAGAACAGACTAGTACCAGATCTCTTTACTTCCTACACCAAATAGTGATTAATTAGCTGATTAGGAAAAAAGTAATGTTTGGGCTGGGTAGGAGGGTAAAGAGAGAATTTCACTTTTTTAGGAAATAAAAGAAATATTTTTATACATCACTGGTAAAAATATCATTTAACCTGTGGCTATAATCTTCAGTCATTTCAGCTTTTCCATCCTCCCTGTTAATATATGTTTTTTTCCTCTTTCTCCAGAGAGGAAAGAAAGCACCATTTACAGTAAGTAGAATTATGTTCTCTGAGAACATTTCCTTACTCTCCTGGTATCTGTGACTGAATACGGTGATCTGTAACACCAATAAATATATTACCTTCCATGATAAAGACACTGCAGTGTAATTAAGGTTGCTAATCAGTTGACTTTAAATTGAAGAAATAATCCTAAATTATCTGAGTGGGCTAAATGTAATCACAGGAACCTTAACATCAGAGACAGAAGTCAGGAAGATGTAGAGTAAGAGGTAGGTAGAGAGACTGAAGCATAAGGGAGATTTGATGTGCCACACCTTGCCTGAAGATGCAGAAAGCCATTTGTGAAGGAATGTGTAAGAACTCTAGCAGCAGAGCAGCAATCTCAGGTTGCACGTGTGAGAAAACAAGGATAAAAGACATTCAACTACAAGTAAATGGATTTTGTCAATAGCCTGAATGTGTTTAGAACAGCTCTTACCTTGCCTACAGGTAAGAGCTCAGCCTGGTGAACACACTGGTTTCTGTCTTGTGTAACCTCGCGCAGAACGCTCAGCTGAGCCCCCTCAGACATCTAACCTACAAAACTGTGAGATAATCAATGGGTATTGTTTAAAGTCACTACATGTGTTTTCTTTCATTACACATCAATAGAAAACTAATACTCCATTAGAAAGACAAAAATTAATATTATCCCAACTATCCAAATATGTGTACTTTTCTTTGAAACTTTCTCTGTAAATGACAGAGGTGTCATTACTATTGCCTATATCTGTGCTTTGAATTTTATCTCCTACTTCTTTCTTTAAAATCGTGATTGCTCTTCTACTTCCAACTTATTCCTCACTCTGGCTGCCTCATCTGCATATGAGCTACTGGAGACTTTTCAGTCTTAACTATTCCCCCATGCATGACCTTCTACTTCCTCCCACTATTGTCTTTTCTCATCTTTCATTTATGGCTTATTCTTCATTCTGGCTCTCTTGCTTGGATTACAAATCTATATATCAAACTCGCTACTGGATAGCTGTCTTGGATGTCCCACAGACAACTCTAACTCAATAGGATACAAAACAAAACTCATCTATCCCTGCTGTTTTTTAATATCAGTGAGTGGCACCAAGATTCCTCCAATTGATCATGGGGAAACCAGTATATATCATCTTCTCCATATAATAATTTACCATCCTCTGTTGATATGTACTCTGGAAACCTTCTGACTACCTCCATTTCTCTCCACCTCTTTTGCCAATATTCTGAAGCACACCATCATCATTTATCACCTAAATAATTAAACTGGTTTCTAAACTCATCTTCCCGCAAAAAACTTGTCCTCTTGTATAACTTCCACCATATTAAATTTAAAGTGAGATTTCTAAATCCAATATTTGATTATATTAAATTTAAGCACTTATTTAACACCCCAAAATGTTCTAAGTGCTGCAAGTGTTTCAATTTATTTAATGGTTAAAAAAGCCTGCTTCATAGATGAGGAAACTGCAACCTGAAGAGGTCAACTTGCCCAGATCAAATGCCAGAAAGTGGTGAAGCCAGTTGTGGGACTTCAACACTCTGGCTGCAGTTGTTAACTATTAATTATACTGCCTCTCTATTTCCCTGACATAGTGTCCTTTACTATTCTGCTAATTTTCAACATTTTCATTTTGAGTGTTAAAACATGAGGATAATAAAAGTTTACCTAACCTCTCAAAACTTGTTTGTAGATGGGTAGTGATTAGAGCTCAAGTTAGCGCTCATTTGAACATCACGACAAACTTGGTGATTTTCCTGAGAGAGAAATAGTAAGTAGTAAGATGCTTATTTGGCTCATAAAATTTCTCATTGCTAGACAACAGCACAGTTGAAAAAGAACCCATATCTCAAACTCTTAAGTCACATTTCCTATTAAAGTATTTCACAAATATATATAGATCCCCTGTTATGAGCAAAATATTATCATAGGGGCTCTGGAAAAAATAGTGGTGAATTAGACAGACAAATTTCTTCTACTTGTAGTTCTTTGGTTTTGATAGGGATAGAGAACTTTGAACAAAGAATTAAATAGTTAATAATTTATTTATGTTACTTAACCTTTACAAAGGAGAAAGACTACATACTTAAAAATGGGGTGACATGGCCCTTTCTGAGAAAGCTTCCTAGAGAAAATGATATTTCAAATAAACTCTAAAGAATGGATAAGATAATTTTGACCACAGCTCCAGAATGATTCATTTCATTTAAATGCTGCCAACATCTGCTCTAGCTGAACATCCACTGTGACTGCTGATCAGAGTCAGTGTCTACATAATCTCAAGTTAGAGACATAAAATGTCAGTCAATTCAGGGCAATGAGGGCAGCATCTTAATAGCTGAATTCTACTGGATTGGTGAAAGACTATTTTTGGAATGTCTGCTCTCAGATCATTACTGTTCAAATAAATCTGAAGCTGCTAAATAATTATGAGGTGTAGACCTTGTCCTCAAGGAAATTTTTCACTATGTGAGGAGATAAGATGAACACAGGTTGAACAACTTAGGATCAATACATTGCAAGCACTCAGGATTTAAATACTGTGGTACTAAACAGCCTTTATTCAAATATACTACTTTTCCTTACCTTAATATTTTTTCACACCAACTAGATGATTTCTGGTTCTTTACTAATTGTATTTTATTTTATCAAGACATTCTACCTTATCCTACATGACTGAGTCCTGGTCTGCACCCCTCTCTTCATTCACTGTAAGTGGCTCCCAGCTACCTACAGAGAAAACTCAGCTTGGTTGAAGACTGTCACCTGGAAGATTTCTTGTTTCTTTTCATTTTTATGTAATTTCTAAAGAACCCCAGATTTTGTGTAACTACTCTAAGAACAGCTGTTCATTCCCATACAAGGTTGTGCACTCAGTTGCTGGGCAGTTCAGTTTTTTGTTTGTTTGTTTGTTTTTTTACTATCTTCTTTGAGCTTCAGCTACCACGAGAGCATACAATACTGGATTTCAAAGAGTTATTTTCTGTTTATTTCCATTTTAAAATAGAATGCTGACAAAAATATGCCTAATTAACTTCTACCCCTTATTTTATATTGGACAACAGCCCATAAAACATTTGCAGTTTATTAACTAAAACATACATTGACTCTGTGTGTCTGGACTATTTCTCATTTTAATAAAGAAATCACTGCTGCTTTTTCCAGTGTCTAAAAATAGATAGATACAGAAATTAACTGAAAAAAAAAAGGTTTTCAAACAAGTCATCAAAAGCAAAGGTTCCCATCTGCCTAACACCATCATATCTTCTGTTTATAGACAGGAGGACTGCCGATGCTTTCTCTTCCCCAGTTACGTGTATGAAGTTAACATATAAATGAGTATAAACAGAGTATATCAGGCCTCAGCTTAAAAGTCACCTCATTGGTGATGGCTTTTCTGTGCCCTGTAGACTTGCTTACGTTCTTTTTAATATTCCCCCATAGTACTCTGTTCTTTCCCATCTCAATCTGCATCATTCATTATTACATCTTCTCATTGAATGTCTATCCTCTGTGCCAGACAAACTCTATAGGACAATTATAACATTTGCCTTTAATTTTATCTATTCCCAGTTCTAACACAGTCTAGTACATAACGTGGGATCAATATATCTTTAATAAATAAATCAAATCAAAAAGAATTGGACCTACTGTGGTTTACATGGACGGACCTCGTAGGCCTGGAAGCCAGGTTCTATTTGGGGAGTAAAAACAAAAAAACAAACAAAAAAATAAACAAAGAAACAGAAAAAACAAAAACAAAAAAACCCAGCATGATTTTGGTAATTCGATTATTCAGTCTGGACCTCAAATTTCATAATTTTTAAAATTAAGAGGCCCGGCACGGTGGCTCATGCCTGTAATCCCAGCACTTTGGGAGGCCGAAGCAGGCAGATCACTTGAGGTTGGGAGTTCGAGACCAGCCTGACCAACATGGAGAAACCCCGTCTCTACTAAAAATATAAAAATTAGCCGCGTGTGGTGGCACATGCCTGTAATCCCAGCTACTAGAGAGGCTGAAGCAGGAGAATCACTTGAACCTGGGAGGCGGAGGTTGTGGTGAGCCAAGATCGTGCCATTGCACTCCAGCCTGGGCAACAAGAGTGAAACTCCATCTCAAAAAATAAAAATAATAAAATAAAATAAAATTAAGAGATTGGAAGAGAGTGCAACCACTCTCCAGCTTTTGCAACCATACACATCTTTCCTTTATTTTGCATAGGACTTATTGAGTTTTATCTACAGACAACTTGAAAAAAATGAAAATTGAATTGTTGCGTGTTTTAATTCTCTACTATTTCCCCAACTATAGCAAATACCTTCTTATATACCCTGGAAAATTTTCAGAACAACCTGAGGTAACTTAGGTTTCCAAAAATTTCCCTGTTGAATTTTATATTCTCTATGAATTATATAAATATGAACCCTAACAAAAATAGAAAACAAAAAAAGAAAAGAAAGTAGGCAGGAGAAAAGAGAACATAGAGTAATACATTCTATATGTTTAAAATACGACTGAGTTTAACATGGTTTTAATTTTTTTTTTTTTTTTTTTTTTGAGACAGAGTCTCGCCCTGTCGCTCAGGCTGGAGTGCAGTGGCGCAATCCGGGCTCACTGCAAGCTCTGCCTCCTGGGTTCACGCCATTCTCCTGCCTCAGCCTCCCCAGCAGCTGGGACTACAGGCGCCCGCCGCCACGCACTGGCTAATTTTTTGTATTTTTAGCTGAGACGGGGTTTCACCGTGTTAGCCAGGATGGTCTCGATCTCCTGACCTTGTGATCCACCCGCCTCGGCCTCCCAAAGTGCTGGCATCACAGGCGTAATCCCACCGCGCCCGACCAACATGATTTTATATTTTAAGCGCAACCTTATATGCTTTCAAATTAAAATGACATATTTTAAAGTGATGCTCCATATTTCACTATAAAAATAGTTTGATTTTCTCTCTTTCCAAAATGATAATAATGAAAATATGTGTTTCAATAATATAGCTTTCGTTAATATAAAAGTGTTTCCTTTAGAGTAGTACATGTGCTATGTTGTAAACTTCTACAGTTGCTATGGGAATCACTAAAATGTCACTTTCTTATTTTCTTTTTTTTTTTTTTTGAGACGGAGTCTCGCTCTGTCGCCCAGGCTGGAGTGCAGTGGCGCGATCTCGGCTCACTGCAAGCTCCGCCTCCCAGGTTCACGCCATTCTCCTGCCTCAGCCTTGCGAGTAGCCGGACTACGGGGGCCCGCCACCACGCCCAGCTAATTTTTTGTATTTTTGGTAGAAACGGGGTTTCCCCATGTTAGCCAGGATGGTCTCGATCTCTTGACCTCATGATCCGCCCTCCTCAGCCTCCCAAAGTGCTGGCATTACAGGCGTGAGCCACCGCGCCCAGCCTCTTTTTTTTCTTTTTAATCTTAACCTTCTGCTTTAACAGTTATATCTCACACACTGACATATCCATACCTTCTAAAAGGAAAACGGCTAATTGAAATAAGGTATGTGGAGGATGGACATTTTGTATCAGAAAATCAAAAGCAAAGAATGCATTCATTAATATAAATATTTAATTAAACATAATAATCTTGTAAAAGAAATAGGCCTTGTGCATCTTCCCAAGGAGAAGCAAAATGATTACATTTTTCAGCAAAAAATACTGGTATTAACTGATAGACAGGTGGGATAGTCTTCGCCAGAGGTCATTTATTGTGACCTTTTTAAAGATTGGCTGCAAATCCATCAAACTCTACAGTTGTGGAGCTGCTAATGAGTTCCTAATTAGGAATTAGTCAGCCATATTAATGATATGTAATATGCCCCAAGCCTGTCAACAAGGAGAACAAAACATTCACCATCCTGAATGTTAGGTTTATTGATGTCTGTCCAAATAGGTGACCTTTGTATAGCAGATACAGTTCCCTTTTGGAGAGGGAATTCCACTTCCTAAAATTATAAGGAATGGTAATCATCAACATCTGGGGGAAAAAAAAGCCCTAAGTTATATGCAAGTGTTTATTCTCTTGACAGTAAATTGTTTCCTTTCCAAATTTATACTCTTTTAATTAGTCAGTTTTCTTATTTCAAATTATTTTAAAAGACACCCAATGTCTTTTTTTTTTTTTTTTTAAGAGATAGGGTCTCCTACTTTCACCCAGTCTAGAGTGCAGTGCAGGTCACAGCTCACTGCAGCACTGAACTCTTGGGCTTAGCCTCCCAAGTAGCTAGGACTACAGGTGCGCACCACTGTAGTTGGCTATTTTTTAATAAATATATTTTGTAGAGATGAGGTTTTGCTATGTTGCCCAGGCTGGTCTGTAACTCTTGGCCTCAAGCAATCCTCACATTCTTGGCCTCTCAAAGTGCTGGGGTTATGGGCATGAGCCACCATGCCTGGTCTCCAATGTCCCTGTTTAGTATAAATATATGTATGTATATATGTATTATATATATGTGTGTGTGTGTGTGTGTGTGTGGGTGTGTATGTGTATAGATAGTTATATATAATTAGAAAAGGACAAAGCAATGTCAGATTATTTTGTTTTTGTGCAAACCATTTAATTAAGTTTCAAATCAGGAGAATTTCAGAGGTAAATTTTTCCCTTTGGCATTAGTTTAGAATGTATGAACTCCTCAAAAATCAAACAAACAGGAAATAGCAGTGCTTAAACATTCATGCTAAACTCCGTATTCAAGAAAGTCAGAAAAGAGAGATTAGTATTTCTCCTTAGGTTAACTACATGAAAGAAGTTGACAATTTCAACCCATATTCACCATTCTCACATTTCCCTAGTGGAATATTTCACATATCCTTTCCGAACAACATTTAATCATTAAAATAAAAGTTAGAATGACACATCTGTGGCCAAAAAGTTTGAGAGAAACAAAGTTATAGAGTGTCTTCTCAATGGCTAGACCTCATACAATGATAAAATATCCAATGACAAGCTATCGAAGAAGTTAGGAAGGAAAAGGAAAAAAGACAATTAGTTTTGGATCACCCAACCAGGAGAGACCAAGTGTATGTCTTAGGTCATTTTAGTAATTTAGAGACACAAATAACAAAGGGCGTGTGTCTTGGAATGACAAGTTATTTCGAGTTGTTAAAGCGAACAGTATTCAGTTAATACCTGCAGTGATTATTGGATTCTTTGATCAACTTTGACAACGAGATTTTAAAATAATTAACTTTTATAAGTTGTTTTTTCCCAGAGTGTTTTTAAGAACTCACTCATACTTAGCCTTGAAATATATTTTTTGATGAAAAATAAATACTTAAATAAAATAACACACGCACTCATTCATCCTAGTTAGATTGCTGCTGCTGTTGTTTGTAGATTTTTTAAAATGACCATCCAGCTAGTAAAATGGTTTTAATTTTAGACTTTGCAGAGAAATTATAGGTTTACTGCAAACCTACACGTTGGAGAATATCAGATGCTAAGAAAGTTTCAGACCTATTTCTATTAAAAAATATTAATTTACTTGTATTTGCTCAATCAAAATGAGCTTCTTATGGAAGAAATAATCCAACAGCCAGGTGTAAATGCTCAGAAGCACAATGCCAGGAAAAGTATCTAAGGACAGAAATGTATTTATATTGTTTTCACAGCAGCTGGTTTAAAGCAGGCCTATGTCTTAGCAAATATCAGGTGCTGAGAGAGTTTCAACATATATCCATTACAAAAAAATAATAATTCACTTGTATTTACTGAATCAAAATGAGCTTCTTATGGAAAAAATAATAACCAAACAGCCAGGTGTAAATGCCCATACAAGCAGGAAGAGAACAGAGGACATTTTAGTGTAATTCTGAGTCTGATGAGTAAATCCTCCCACCTCAGTGTTCACATAAAAGAGGATTTAAGACTATCCAGGAAATTTTCAGGAATGAAAGATTTTCTAACTTCTTAAGAGACTTCACTCTACTTGTGGCCACTCAGCATAAGTTGCTTTAGTAATGGCTGTGGCGGCCATTGCAGTATTTGAATAGAACTCCCCATTTTGCCTTATGGTCTTGGCACCCTACCAAAGAGATGGGCCCTATATGTAACTCTTGGCACACGGAAATTAGGTACTATCTGCACTATTCCACTTTTCATCTAAAAAAACTGAATAGCCTGAATTTGATATGATGCTTAGGCACAGGATCAGAGGAAACTGGGTTTAAATTTTTCTGCTCTACTAGAAAATGCTGGAGAATTTTCTTTATTATGCTTTCTTCAAATGTACAATGAGAATAAAAACAGTCATGCTTGACGTGGCTGGCAAATAGTGACGGCTCAATATAGATATAAAAATATAATGACATTTTTCATGCCATTCCTCTTTCAAGTCTGCCTTTTCTTTCAGAGCATCCCCCGTTGCCTGCTCTTAGTATCAAGATCTATATTGACCTTTGTTCCTTAAGCAATTTATTGTAAGGTCTCCTTAGTTCCTAATCTTTCAACAATGCTGGAAATCTCCTTTGTTCTCCTTTTTCTCCATACCCACATACTTCTCAGGCAAGTCCACTCTGATTCTTCATGTCTTTGAGATTAGAAAAAAAAAAAAACAAAAAAAAGTAATACTATGAGGAAGGTCGATTTCGTATTTATTTCCTGTATACACACACACATATACACACACACAGAGAAGACTTTATTGAATGTACCTAATGGGTAAATATTACTTCTCTATGGGATATATAACTTGGTCATAATTTGAAGAAAACTTGCAAATTCTAGGTATAATGTTTTAATTTAATGGAGTAAGTTTCTAGGCAACTGTAATGGTTTTTAAAGTGTGATATAAATAAAAAAATAAGTATTTTCAAATAAACATTTATTATTAAGTTCAATTTGCAGTTAGAATAAAGAGCTTTGTTTCTTGATAATTCATCAGTTAGTACCTAGGCAGCAAACAGAAGGTACATCCCAATTTTTTAATTTGAAAAGAATTTAATAAAGGGTTTAGAAAATGCTGTGAGCAGAATGTAAGGGCATAAAGGGATAGTGCTAGGGATCTATAGGGATTAGTAAGGAGAGAGATGCTTCGTTACCATCATCAGGCTTGAAGATCTAAAGGGTGAAAGGCGGGATGTGTTCCACAGCAGAGAATGAGACAGTAGATGGGAGGAGATTTTATAAGTGCAATTATAAACTTGGTTTTGAGAAACAGCAGATGCAAGGGTATGCCAGAAAAACAGAGCTAAAGAAATAAATACGCGACCTCTTCTCTCCCTTCTATCTCCAGGCAGTGTTCTTTTTGGCTAAACCCAACCAGAAGGAAGAGGTCAAGAGACCCTCTATTAGAGAAGGATGGAGAGTGTATCCAGGGGACAAATGGAGGATAATGAGCACAATTTGGATTAGTAGTCATTGAAAATACTTCTTTCAGGAATAAATATATTAAACACATTATGTTAAAACTTTAAATGAATAGTTAAACCCAGTGCCACCTTAAGTTGATAAGAAAAAAAATGTAATCCCTTCATTGAGTGATGTTACATTTGACTATAATTAGCAATGAAAATCAAATTTAAATATATAGCCAGTTCATTGAATACAGTAGGAAGGAAATTTAAAAACATTAATTGGAATATGTTAAACATTAAATGTAATTATGAAAATGCACTTGTATCTTTTAAAAATTGTATATTAAAGAAGTTTAATATGTGAACACACATAGTAGGACACTACATTGATAATAACTTTTCCAAATAATAGGGATTTGCAAATAATAGGCAGTGTAGGTTATTTTGTTATTCAGTGGGGTTATAGAAAGCATTTTATAAAGAGACTATTACCTGGCTGTTAGTGACACAATCCTAATCAATCCCATCTTCTATATCATTTATATTGGCTTCTTTATATTGCTAGACAGGTGGACAGGGGTAGAAGTTTGAACAAATCCTTAATGTATTAAACTAGGAAAGTATTAATTTTATTCTTTAGCAAATTTAGGACCCAGGTTGATATCACTCTGGGTTCAAATTATGAAGTATTTATATAAGACTTCAGTTTCTAGAGGCTCTAGTTCAAATTGCTTTTAGAAAATGAAAATTTTTAAATAATCATTATTGTTTCAATTAAGAATATCACCAAATACGAATGTTAATGATAGTAATGACAGAACCTTGGATAACTTCAAGTGAGATCACAGTATTTGAGTTAATGTACATGAACGAGCAGCAGCTTCTCTAAAACCTATCGTATGAATCCCAAACATATGCTCTAGTTAGAGATTCTGCGATCTGATTGGATTTTTCTTCAATTTTATTCTATTTGTTTTTAAACATGGAACTGAAGAATGAACCCAAACGCCTAAAGAAAAATAAAATATAGGAATACCTTATTCAAATAGCAGAGATAATGTTTATTATAGACAAGCGGCAGTATTCTATCAATAAAGGGGTTTATGATGGATTTGATTCCCCTTCCCCAAGAGTGGTCGCCCAGGGCTAATGGAATAACATTACAAAATAATAGATGAATGAATCAGGAAGGCTTGCTATTACATCACTTGGTAATAAATGTGTGGATCCTTTTCTCCCCAGTGCTTCTAGACACTGCAATTGACAGTCCAGGTAAACATGATTGTAAAAGTGTAGATGTTTAGAAGTAGCTTAAATAGGTCACTTTTCAAGGGATGAAGGAACGTCAGGGGAGTAGGAAAAAGTGGAAGGACAGAAAAAGATGGACAACAAAGCAAACTCTGCTGTCATTACTTTTGCTTTGACAAAACTGTTTATATGAATAATCTTAGAAATATAACATAAAAGACCTCAAAAAGCCATTTTGTTTGGAGAAGTATCCTTAAATATACAAAATAACAATCAACTGTGACTGACACAAATATTGTCCTGTTTTATGTGCTCAATAATGTAGTACCAGTGTACTGAGTATTTGCGTTTGGAAAGGCACTGAATAGATGATATTATTATGCTCATTCTACAACTGAGATAACTAAAACACAGGGAAGTTAAGTGGTCTTGCCGAAGTTATACAGCTGCTATGTGGAAGGTCTGTTATATAAACCTAGGAAAATTGTGCTCTTAGCAAAATATTGTGCTGCTTTTGTATATGAACAAATGAATGCATTAATGAAGTCATTGATATCAAATAAAGAAATGACTGTGTGGTCTTCGGCATGAATAAAACTTTGCTGAGTAACTAACTTATTATATTCATTGATTTCTTAAGGTGACTGACAGGGTTGAATTTAAGTGGTAAATATTGTGAAAGAAAGAGTATGTGTTTATTTCTGGTTAAATGTGGTTGGTAACCATTTATTTATTTAGTACCATCATGCACGAAGCAGTTTGCATATGCTATCACTAGATTTTACCATCCTTTCATTGCAAACCATTATCTGATTTTTTAGATGAAGAGACTGCAACATAGAGATATAGAGATGTAGAATAACTTGCCTCAAACCACACAGCTTGATGGAGAAACAGTTCTAGTCCAACTTTCATGGATTCCATAGCCCTTGAGCATCCCCTTCTAAGATAAATTGGAACCAATACACTGGGAGTGTGGTGCCTGGGCAGAGACAGGCGAGCCAGGGGGAACCAATTTGTATGTCTCCTGGGCAAATGATCAAAGGACTCAGGTAGAGGGCAGGACTTGAACTTCGCAGGTGACCACCACGTAATAAGTTGGCTCTTTTAGTCTCAATAGTGCAGAGATAGTGTCAACAATAGAAATCAAATTCATTTTTAAAGTTACTGAAAGCTTCCAAAGTTCAATGCAAAAGTTCTGTTATTTGGCTTCAGGGTCAGCAATCCACAGAACAGTCCTGTCTCCCTAGCTCCTGCTCACTATTTTTCTGCCTTTCTCACTCTTCCTCTTAAAGAAAGAAAGAAAGTGATTATTTTGTGAAGATCTAAAGGTTTTTATTTTTTATTTAGTGTACTAAAATCTAAATAACTCTTACAAATGTTTAGAAATATTTTATCCTTAGATATGAGTTCTGGCAAACTGTGTTTTTCTTTCTGCAGTGAAACAAATGATAAAAAAAGAATAAATATTTACAAAAAAGTTAAAGATAACCATTTTACTTTCTTAAGAAATATTTAAAAATTGGATAATGTTTGACAAATTGTCCAACATTTTATTTAAAGTCTAAAGTGCCTTTGTAGAATACCGATTCCCTTCTTCAGTGAGTGGGCTTCAGGGAAATCCATATCAGGGGTTCCCTTCGTCAAATGCAATTTTGATTCCCGTTCCAGTTATGACGATCTTGTTTCTTTGTGTCCATTCTCTATCAATATATAAGCAGATTTCTTGTTTGTGTGTTCTATAACTCAAGGTACCAGGAAAAAGAATATTTCAGAGTCCTATACTAGGTGCTCCCAAGAGGGATGAAAACCTAAATCCCACTCTGAAAAAAAGTCAGTTATTTAATAGTGATAATGTCACATATATGGCTAATGGATGGGACACATCAAATAGCAGTAAATAGTAGTCATAGTTGTAATGGTAATAGTAGTGTAATAATAGTAGTAGTGATGACCAATATTTGCTAAGTGCTTACACTGTGATTTTAAACGCTTACATGTATTTAATGCTTTGCCTATGAGAAGAATAGTTCCCTTGTGATAGCCAAGACAATGTGTCTCACAGACTTCCAATTGCAGACAGCTCCAAATGCTACACTTTGAAATTCATCACACCTTTGTACCAGGGCCATACCTTCTATGAACTGCTCACTGTAAATGACTGTGTGCATCAGGAATACTAAGTCAGCCCTTTTCCTGGAAGACACAGGACTCCTCTGATGAGCAGCTTCAGCTTGAGGACTCCCTCACGGCTTTGCTGAACTTTCCTCGGGCTGCGTGGCCATCTATAATGCTGCTACCCCACCTCATCTGTCTCTCTCATTTCTGCATCATATCTGAGGTCTCCCAGTCTTTTCTGCCTTCTTTTCTATTTTTCCTCTGATAGGCATTTTCTATAATATAATCCTTTTCCATTTAATCCTGGCTTGGTTTATGCTTTTCAGAAGACCTGGACTCACACATTATTCTTCTTATTTTATTAGAGACAGCAAGAGTCTGTGGTTCAATAATGCCTGCCTAAGGCCACATATTCATTAAGCTACTAGAATGATATTTACTCTTACGCTTCTGATTTCAGAACCTGTGTTAGTAACCACTACACAATTTGGGGAAGTTACAGTTGGAAGGGAAGCAAACAGAAGAACTACTCAAATACTGGTGTCAGCTACTCAGTAGCTACATCAGAACTAGAGTGGAATTCTGTGCTTGATAAGCCAAAAAAAAAAAAAAAAGTGGCATGGGGCTTTTATTCTGCAATGTCTGTTGCCAATACTGATACTTACTGGAGATCCATGTCCCTGCAGGTAGATCCTTGAATTTTTTTATTTGCCCATTTCTACTATGAATCTTGCATCTATTCAAACTTCCTTACTTGTGTATCATTTCCTTGGGGTTTATACACTGAAAATTATTGAAATAAAGGTGAATGCTTTGTTCTAGGAATGATAAAGAGTTTACTATACAGCAAACTACTAAATTAATGTTTGGTGAGTCTAGCAAGCTATCTTTGCTTCGTGCCACTAAATGATTTATGTTGTGTATGGTGGAGCTAGCTGAGAGAGAGTCTGTAGGTGAGGAGTAAGTCAAAAGTAGAATCCTTTGAGCAGCCGCTTTCCATAAGCCTTGTAGTGTTTTCTGTCTAGTTCCTCTAAGTTCCTAAGCTTAACCTTATTGTGGAATGAGTCAAATGAGAATGTGCCCACCTTGCTTACTCTTTATTCCCAGATCATTGAATTTTCACCAATTTTACCAGGAGAGGAACTAACTTATTTCTTTCCTTCCTTCCTTCCTTCCTTCCTCCCTTGCTCTCTTCCCCTCTCCCTCCCACATTCTCTCCCTCAGTCTCTCTCTCTGTCTCTCTATCTCTATCTATATACGTATCTGTGTGTATCTCCCTCTTTTTTAAATTTGTCTTGATTTTACTTGTAGTGTCCTTCCCTTTTACTTCTCAGACTTAAGGTTTTTTTCCATTTTCCAAATCAAGGGTTCAGTGAAGATTTTTCGACAGTGACAGTATTTTCATCCCATTCCCTCTCATATGCTCCAAATTTCTCTATAATAGCTGTGCATATTACAGTTCTGAATACAGGCATGAGATATACAGTGACCAAAGTATCTCAGAGTCATTGATAATTTAGCATTTTAACATACAATAGATTTTAAATAATATTTTTTAGGGGTTTACTAGCTTTATAAACTCTAAACATACCCACTTTTTTTTCTCACTTTTCAGGTTCTCCATGTCAACAAGGCAAAATAATAATAATAAGAAGAAGAAGAAGAAGAAGAAGAAGGAGGAGGAGGAGGAGGAGAAGGAGGAGGAGAAGGAGGAGGAAGAGCGGGGGAAGGTTGGACCTGTAGGCAAGATATTGGATTTACTGTTTTTAAGCTATCTTCCAATACTTGATTTCTATGAAAGACATCACAAAGAATGTAGCTCAGTACAAAACAACATAGCCATGATGAAACTATTCCAGCATTGAAAGTTACACCAAATCCTAGAATGTTATTCATTTCTCTGTGAGAACCATAAGCTAAGAACATAAAAAAGCATTTTATTCTCTAATTTCAAGATGTTTCTAATTTCCAAACTCACTGTTTCTTTTTAAAGGTTAAAGTGTTAGGAGATTTGGTCACACTTTATCTCACTAATTAAGTCCATGTGCTCTAAACCTCTCCTCTTTCTACCTTCCATTCCTCACCTCTCTTTGGAGAAGAGTCTGATATTTATCCAGATCTCTTTGTAAAATTCTGTCTCACTTGGTTCCATCAAATTATGTTCAAATGACTGTTCATTGCACTCTAAGCATACTGAGGGGATGCCATTCTGGAGCAAGCAAGATCTTTTGATCTATTTGGAGTCATTTGTGCATTTCACCTTTCTGATGACCCTACTTCACCTTCTCTTTTTTGTAGATGAAATCTTTACTATCATTTATTTGGGAAGAATAAATATGTTCACTGACCTCTTTGAAATGTCAGACATTGCTTCCAACACTAGTAAAGATCGGTATTAGTATACTGATGGGAAAAAAAGATACAGCATGGGGACCTGCTAGATACTTTCAAAGACAATTAAAAGATTCATAGAAAAAAAAACACAGTTTTACTCTCCTGCAGTTTCCTTCTTGCACATTCTATTACTCTTAACAAAAAGAAAGATGGAATATTATTTGTCACTGATGCTGCTTCACATAAGGAAATGCCCCAAATCTGAGTATTTGTCATGTAACCATAAGTATAACTAATTATTAAAACATTAACCATATATATATAGTTTAATACAGGAGAGGATCAGGTGGCCTCATTCAGGGAATCACTGTTGAATTGCCTAGAGTTAAATATCCCTAAAGGTAAAAGGCAATGAATATGTTTAGAAAGTCATTTTAGGGCCAAAAGTAAAAGACTAATTTATGTTTGTTTCAGTACAACTTTTATTTGTATGACAATATGGTTTCCTCTGATTTTTATCATACAATTTGCATTTCTAAAGTGTTGTGTGAAGGAGACATACATACACACATACTAGTTGAATCATGTAAGTGAATAGCTTCTGTACTGAAGTGTTTTAGCCGGAGTTGCTTGTTGGGGATAGCCTCAGTCGTTCTGGCTCCTTACAGCTGACAACGCAGAAGTAGTTCTTTCTTTCCCTCAGACATACATTCTGGACACTGAGGTAACAACTAATTGCCCTGAAACCAGCCTGAGTATCTCGTGGAAATCACACGTTCTCTCCCCACTCACTGATGCATTTAATCTCCCCTGGCTTCTCCTGCTTTCAAGTTCAACAAGCACTCTGGTGTCGAAAAGACATAGCAGAGATTCAGTGCCCATTCTGAACTGAATGTTGTTATTAGCCCTCCAGCTATAGAGAGAAAGACGAAAAACACGTGATATACATACATCCACTTTAATCTGCTTCCTTTAATACAGGTTAACATGCAGTATGATTCCCACGAAAGGAAACAGAAAGAGACTGTTGAGCAAAACAAGTCTCCTAAAAGTCACTCCACGTGAGAACTTGTAAATCTTAGTATCTTACTTTTCATTAAATCTTTTTATTTAAAATGATAAATTATAAAATATACAAAATTCCCTACATAGACTTATGCTTTCAGAGATTAAGCATTCACCTTTTTAACTACTTTGAAACTTTCTGAAATTGTCCCTTGATTTTTTTCCTTCCCACTTATTCCTCAGCCTCAATTACTCCTTAATGCATCCACCCATCTTTCCCTTTAACTAGAAAGATGCAGAAGAAAATAGTAAACTCTCATATGACTGGTGAGTCTGGTTTTCATAGGAACTGTACGAAGTAGAACCTCTGCTTTCATAGATAATTAGCTATTTCAAACAATGGGTAATTTAAATACTTGACATATATTAAAAATAAATATTTTCTGAATTATGTCATTGTTTTGACTCAATTGAGCTGAATTGTATAAAAGACAAAGACAAACATAATAATAAACTGTCATTTGCTTGGAGAAGTTTGTTGATAGGGTCACAAAAGTACAATTTACCCAATAACTTTTCGCAGGAAGGTCTTTTTGAATTTTAGACTCAAGGGGCCAAAATAGACCAAAAAAAAATTCTTGCATACCAATGGTCTCCAGACAATAAGGTTTTGAGAGAACTATTTTTCCTTATATTTTCTCAGCAAAATTGAAAGATAACAAGAAAAATCAAGGGATAAACGAGAGCCAAGATCCAAGATGTTTAAAGGAAGCTGGATCTGAACAAAGAGAGAATGAATAAAAGCATGAGCTAAAGTCTTACTTTTCAATTTATAAAACCTTACATAGTCTTAATAGCATTTAATCTTCAAAACTCTCTGAGTAGATAAAATATAAGCGTTTTGAAAATAAGAAAACAGGCTGAAATTTAAGTCCACAGAGATAATAACATAGGTGAATTCTGTCTCATTGAAGTTGGAGAAGATGGTTGAACATTTGTGTTACTCCTATATACAGTACAGCACTTAATAACTTTAATGAGCGCTAATCTTATTATATGACAAAAATTGTAGTGTGAGTTTAAATGTATTATTTTATATAGCCATTTCCGCTAGATTTGATTCTTCTTCTTCCTTTTATATAAGTAAAAGCCCAGTTTAGAAAAGTTAATTAAACATATTTTCCAAGGCCACATAATTAACAAGTAGCAGAGGTAGAATTTGAATTCAGTCTGATGCCTAACTCATGTATTACCTATTGTGCTCTTTTGCCTTGGAAAGCTTTCCACCATTAAGTCAATGTTTTTATTCTCTCTGTTTTTTTGTTTGATTTTACTGCACTTCTATGGTCATTGAGTCTGCACTGTCTGATAAAAATACAATGTGAGCCCCATATGTGATTATACATTTTCTAGAAGCCACTTTAAAAGGGTAAATAGAGAGATCTTTTTAATATTTTATCTAATTACATATATCTAAAATAGTATTCAATATAAAATATTATGAGATATTATACATTCTTTTTGATACTAAGTCTTTAAAATCCTATGTAGATTTTACACTTATATCCCATCTCAATTTGTACTGGCTACATTTGAAGTGATCAATAGCCGCATGTGATTACCTACTACTATATTACTGTAATTCTAAGATTAGCATGTGTATGTACGTGTGTATATATACACACAAGTATGCACAGCATGTAAAATGTAATTTTTATATATGTAAATAAACATATGTATATAATTCATAAACATTATACACACATATAACGTGTGTATGTATATGTATGTATGTTTTAGGAGTGAGTCACTTATTTCTCCAAGTATTAACTGTGAAATTCCAGGATTCGGTAATTACTAATGTTTTTACAAGTGTGTCAGACAGCCAGAGTCAATAGGCTTTTTTTTCCCTCTGAGTATGAGTGGCTTTGTGTGTATAAAAAGGCTTCTCTCCATTTCCCCCTTTCTTCAGTGTGTCAACAGCACACAACAGAGATATCCTGAGAATGGGTTTTGTTGCTTGCTTCACAGGAAGGACTTTCTCTGTGAACTCCAGTACTGGATCAAGTTTGGAAGAAGTTGGGGCTCCATGATGATCTTCTAAAAGACTTATTCTCCATATAGGTCTATCTCAAACCAACTGCAATTTCCTGTTTTCAAACAACTTGATGTTTGAGAAGACACTAAAATTTGTGACATGATATAAAGGGCAGCTGGATGAAGGCTATATGGGAACTCTCCGTACTACCTTTGCAAGAAGTGGACCTTGAATTTTTTTTCAGATAGAATTTATGACTACTTCAGAATGATGAAGACGATGGCAATTATGCTACCTGCTGAGACAGGCTAAGCAGGCAACTAAATGAAAACTGAGAAAATTTATTTAAGACATTCATAAAACATGATTTTCAAAATTAGAATTAAATACCTATCGCAAATGTTCTATAATTGTGAAATAATCAGAAATATATCTTATTGCTAATACATTTAAATAAATATTTTTGTTAAGCACTGCTCACTGGAGAACAATTCCTCTAAAAGAGGTTTATGAATTGTACAGTGTTAGAAATTATAAATCTCATACGCAGCCACTTCAGTAAGCAGCTGGGAGATTTTTTTTTTTTTGCACTTTCTTTTGGTGCTTGGTTACTAAGCCCTTTTTATCAATCATAGTAGGCAACAGAGTTACAATGGTCAAGATAGATACATAGATCTTATTCTTATGGAATTTAGAATCTATATGTGTATTAGTCAGGGTTCTCTGGAGGGACAGAACTAATAGTGTGTGTGTGTGTGTGTGTGTGTATCTAAAGGGGAGTTTATTAAGGAGTATTACTCACATGATCACAAGCTCTCACAATAGGCCATCTGCAAGCTGAGGAACAAAGAAACCAGTCTGAGTCCCAAAGCTGAAGAAATTGTAGTCTGATGTTCCAGAGCAGGAAGCATCCAGCACAGGAGAAAGATGTAGGCTGGGAGGTTAGGACAGTCTAGTCTTTTCACGTTTTTCTTCCTGCTTTATTTTCTGGCTGCACTGGCAGCTAACTTGATGGTGCCCACCCAGATAGAGGGTGGGTCTGCTTTTCCCAACCCACGACTCAAATGTTAGTCTCCTTTGACAACACCCTCACAGACACACCCAGGATCAATACTTTGCATCCTTCCATCCAATCAAGTTGACATTCAGTATTAATCATCGCAAGTCCACCCCTTGTCAACATGAACCCGTACACATCTCCTGAGATCATATATAATCTTCAAATAAAGACAGTCATAAGGTCATAACTATGCCTAATATAATACAACTATCCTTTGTACAACCGGAAATGTATCAATCCCCAACCCAAATGCTATTATATAAAGGTAACAATACTTAAATGCTGATATGAAGTCAGTAAATCTTATGTTACATAGTAAAGGAAAAATGAAATAAACCGAAGATATTTTCTTGGTACAACTACAATAAATCGAAGATATTTTCTTAGTACATGTTAACAAAAGAAGGAGGAAATACTCATGATAATTACAGTCCTTGTTTCTGCAACTGGTCACGTGATCATAGCTGGTATTGATGACTAACTTCTTCTACTACCCATTCTGTATTCCATTTGCCTTCAGCAAGCAGCTCAGCAGGTCACATTTTTTGTTTTTGTGTTTTTTCCTGGTGGAGTGACCCAAACCTTAATTTTTTGAAGGGTCTGGGCCATTTGAAGTCCTGCCTGAATTGGGCTGTAATTTCCCATTGACCTTAATCACAGGGCAGTATTAAGAGTAATATAATCACAGGATAATATTAAGAGATGCACTAATGGATCTCCTGGATTCCATTCATACTCTTCCTTACCTCCGTTGTGGAGTAGCAAATTGATTTCTTCTTGACAGTCTTGGTCAATCACCCCAGCCAACACTGTAACTCCCTTCTTAGCCTGTTGACTTAAAGGTAGGAGGAGCCCAAAGTGTCCAGGTGGCAATCTTAACTTCCACTTTAATGGAATCGTTGTTGTGTCTCCTCGTGGCAGCATTCCTCCATCTGGGACTAAGACCTCTAGGCCAGCAGAACATAATGTCGGGGGAACAGGAAACAAAAATTTTGCTAGTGGATCTCTAGGGGTGATGGTGAGTGGTGCCACTTCCACTTCCACCCCTTGATGAATCCTGGCTATGGGAGAAAGAGTACCGTATATTGGATGCTGATTCAGAGCATACACGGCCTTCTGGAGAACTTTGCCCCAGCCCTGCAAAGTATTGTCACCTAGTTGACAATGTAATTGTGACTTCAAGAGGCCATTCCACCGTTCTATCAATCTAGTTGCTTCAAGATAATGGGGAACATGGTAAGACCAGTGAATTCCATGAGCATGAGTCCACTGCCACATTTCTTTAGCCATAATGTGAGTGCCTTGGTTAGAGGCAATTCTGTGTGGAATACCATGATGGTGGATAAGGCATTCCCTGAGTCCATGGATGGTAGTCTTGGCAGAAGCATTGCACACAGAATAGGCAAGCCCATATCTAAAGTAAGTGTCTATTCCAGTGAGGACAAACCTCTGCCTTTTCCATGATGGAAGAGGTCCAATATAATCAACCTGCCACCAGGTAGCTGGCTGATCACCCTGAGGAATGGTGCCATATTGAGGTCTCAGTGTTGGTCTCTGCTGCTGGCAAATTGGGCACTCAGCAGTGGCCATAGCCAGGTCAGCCTTGGTGAGTGGAATTCCATGTTGCTGGGCCCATGAGTAACCTCCATCCCTGCAACTGTGGCCACTTTGTTCCTGAGCCCATTAGGCAATGACAGCAGCGGCTGGGGAAAGAGGCTGAATGGTGTCAACAGAACAGGTCATCCTATCCACTTGATTATTAAAATCCTCCTCTGCTGAGACCACCTGCTGGTGAGCACTCACGTGGGATACAAATATCTTCATAGTCTTTGAGCAATCAGAGAGGTCCATCCACATACCTCTTCCCCAAATGTCTTTGTCACCAATTTTCCAATTATGCTTCTTCCAAGTCCCTGTTCAACCAGCCAAACCATTGGCTACAGCCTATGGATCAGTATATAATCGCACATCTGGCCATTTCTTCTTCCATGCAAAGTGCACAGCCAGGTTCACTGCTCGAAGTTGTGCCTACTGGGACGATTTCCCTTCATCACTGTCCTTCAGGGATGTCCTAGAAAGGGGCCATAGTGCTGTAGCTGTCCACTTTCAGGTGGTGCCTGCATATTGTGCAGAACCATCTGTGAACCAGGCCCTAGTCTTCTCTTACTCTGTCAACTGATCATAGGGAACTCCCGATGAGGCCCTCAGTTCAGGCTGGGGGAGAGAAGGCAGGGTGGCAGGAGTGGAGACCATGGGCATTTGAGACACTTCCTTATGTAACTTACTTGTGCCTTCAGGACCTGCATGAGCGCAATCACATATATACTACATCAATTTGATGATTGAATGCTGCTGTGCATGACCCACTTTATGACTAGATGGGTCTTAAAGCATTCAGTTTATGACAGGCAGTTCAGGTCACATAGTGACTTGATGACCCATAGTCAAACACTCAGTTTCCACCAAAGCCCAATAACAGGAAAAGTGCTGTCTCTCAGGAGAGTAGTTATCTGCAGAAGATGGCAGGGCCTTGCTCCAAAATCCTAGAGGCCTCCACTGTGATTTACCTGTGAGGGCCTGCCAGAGGCTCCAAACAGCATCACTGTCTGCCACTGAAACCTCAAGCACCGTTGGATCTGCTGGGTCATGTGGTCCAAGTGGCAGAGTAGCTTGCACAGCAGCCTGGACCCGTTGCAGAGCCTTCTGTTCTGGACTCCACTCAAAACCGGCAGCCTTTTGTGTCACTGGATAAATGGGCTGGAATAGCACACCCAAATAAGAAATGTGTTGTCTCCAAAATCCAAATAGGTCCACTAGGCGATGTGTCTCTTTCTTGGCTGTAGGAGGTGCCAAATGCAGCAATTTATCCTTCCCTTTAAAGGAATATCTCGACAGGCCCCACACCACTGGACCCTAGAAATTTTACTGAGGTAGAGGGTGCGTGAATTTTATTTGGATTTATTTCCCATCCTATGGCATGCAAATGTCTCACCAATAAGTCCAGTGTGTTTGCTACTTCTTGCTCATTGGATCCAATCAACATAATGCCATCAATGTAATGGACCAGTGTGATATCTTGTGGCAGTGAAAAGTGATCAAGATCACTCTGAATAAGATTATGACACAAAGCCGGAGAGTTGATATACCCCTGAAGTAGGACAGTAAAGATACATTGCTGGCCTTGCCAGCTGAAGGCAAATTGCTTCTGGTGGGGCTTATGGAATGGGTAAAAGGCCATTTGCCAAGTCAATGGCTGCATACAAGGTACCAGGAGATGTATTAATTTGCTTGAGCAATGAAACCACATCTTGTATAGCAGCTGCAATTGGAGTCACCACTTGGTTAAGCTTATGATAATCCACTCTCATTCTCCAAGATCCATCTGTCTTCTGCACAGGCCAAAAAGGAGAGTTGAACAAGGATGTTATGGGAATCGCCACCCCTGCATTTTTCAAGTCCTTGATGGTGGCACTAATCTCTGCAATCCCTCCAGGGTGGTGATAATGTTTTTGATTTACTATTTTCCTAGGTAAAGGCAGCTCCAATGGCTTCCATTTGGCCTTTCCCACCATAATAGCCCTCACCTTACCAGTCACAGAATCAATGTGGGGGTTCTGCCAGCCTCTAAGTATGACAATGCCAATTATGCATTCTGGCACTGGGAAAATGAACACAGGATGAGTCCAGGGACCCACTGGACCTGCTGTAAGTCAGACCTGAGCCATAACTCCATTAATTACCTGACTTCCATAAGCCCCTACTTTAACTGGAGGACCACAGTGACATTTTGAGTACCCTGAAATGAATATCAGCTCAGAGGCAGTGTTCAGTAGTCTCTGAAATGTCTGATCATTTCCCTTTCCCCAATGCACAGTTAACCAGGCAAAAGGCTGGAGGTCTCCTTGGGTAAGGGTGGGAGAAATATTAACAGCATAAATTGTCAGTGGTGTAGTGGGGTCCTTCCTCAAGGGAACATGGCCTCCCCTTCATTCAAGAGTTTCTGGGTCTGTGAATTGGCTAAAGTCTGGAAATTGATTGAGGGGCCATGATTCTCTGTTTTTATAATTCGAGTTAGTATTTTGTCCACTCAACCTGGAAGGTTTCTGCTTATATAAATTAAGTAGGAATGCTGTAGGCTTCCTATCAATTTCACTTCTAGGAACACCATGATTAATTTTCTAATGTCAGAGCTCTACACAAGTCAGACTATTCTGATTGCTGCTTTGTCTCTGCTGTCTATTATGGTAGCTATGCCCACCTTGCCTTTGAAGATTGACTGTGGCCACTTGGCCCCTGTCACCTCAGGGTCCAATTATTCCCATTGTATTTAAATTTTGCAGTTGAGTGACTGTAGTTCCCATGATTAGATCTGACAGACAGAGAAGAGTGATTACGGGGCTCTTCAAAGATGCAGGTGCTGCCCTCACAAATCTGTTTTGCGAAGCATTGGTCAGGGGTTTATCTTTTGGAACTTCTCAGCTGGGATGAGTAAGTCTAAAGTGACTAATCCACTCCAACATCCCAATCTCTCTAAGCCTTTGGATCCCTTCCTCTACATTAAACCAAGGGAGATCTGGCATTTCCAGCTTGCACACAGTGGGCCATCTTTTAATCCATATTTCAACTAATCAAGCAAATAAACTATTAGAACCTTTTTTAACTCTCTGAGCTGTAACATTAAATGCATAATCCCTACTTAGTGGGCCCAAGTCAATAAATTCAGCTTGATCCAATTCTATGTTTCTTCTACCATTATCCCACACCCTTAATATCCATTCCCATGCCTGTTCTCCAGATTTCTGCTCATATAAATTAGAAAACTCAAGGGTTCTTTCCAAGTGTAGTGTAAATCCTCATGGGTCACACTGTGAATCTCACTTCTAGGGGCCCAGGAGGACTTTAGTCTAGGTATAGGTCTAAAAGCAAACAGGGGTGTTGAGAGTGGGTCCTGAGGAGAATCAACATTATATTGCCTGGCAACAGCCTCAGGGGAGTCCCTCACTGTAGCCACAGATAGCTCAGGGTTTATGTCCTCAGACAAAGGTGGAAAGACTGATGGCAACATAGGTCAGGAAGGAAATGTTGCCACTACAGGAGATACGGAAGCTGTTTCTTCTGGAAAAAAAAAGGTTCATCAGAGTTTACATGCTCAGTGTCCCCAGCTTCATCAGGTTCTCCCACATGTCCCCATTCCAAGTTTCAGGGTCTCATTCTTTCCCAATGAATTCCCTCACTTCAACAGTAGACACCTGGCGAGGCTGTGCAAGCACCTTTCATTGTAGGTCAGCCACTTGCATTATAAGAGCTTGTGTCTGTTTTTCCACAATTTCAGCTCTTTTTTCTACAGGAGATAGGACTTTCGCTCAGGGCAATCTTTGAAGATTTGAGGCTCTGTATCTGCTTCTGAAGCTGGGAGTTAGAATCCCTGAGTTCATCATTTTCTTTCATCACTTTGTCCAGTGAACTTATGAGCAAACAACCAACTTCATTCATGGTTCTCCACATATAGTCAAAGGTATTACACACAGAGTCACTAAACATCTTGCCTTTCATGAACAGAGAATCAAAAGTGCCACATGCATTTATTTTGCATAATTCTCTAAACAGTTCACACCAAGGACTATCAGTGTTTCCCCATACTATTAGAAGTAGAGTCTTCAGCATTTTTGGGTCTAATCATACTAAGCAGCCAAATCTAGAAACCCCTAAACCAACGAAATAACTCAATCCTTAATATTCTGTTCCTCTAGAATCACTCCTGGTACCAAAATTTGTATTACTCAAGGTTCTCTAGAAGGACAGAACTAGTAAGATATATATATCATATATATCATATATGATATATATGATATATATCATATATATCATATATGATATATATGATATATATCATATATATCATATATGATATATATTGGGGTTTATTAAAGAGTATTAACTTACACAATCACCAGTTCCCACAACAGGCTGTCTGCAAGCTGAGGAGTAAGGAAGCCAGCCTGAGTCCCAAAGCTGAAGAACTTGGAGTGTGATATTCTGGACCAGGAAGCATCCAGCACAGGAGAAAGATGAAGGCTGGGAGGCTAGGCCAGTCTAGTCTTTTCACGTTCTTCTGCCTGCTTTTATTCTGGCCATGCTGGCAGATGATTAGACTGGGTCCACCCAGATTGAGGGTAGGTCTGCCTCTCCCAGTCCACTGACTCAAATGTTAATCTCCTTAGGTAACACCCACACAGACACACCCAATATCAATGCTTTGCATCCTTCAATACAATCAAGTCGACACTTGGTATTAATCATCACAATATAAAAATTTTTAAATTACACAAATTGTTATATAAAATGATTACACAAATAACTACAAACTGAGATAGGCATTTTTAAGAGACAATAATATATTTTAAGAAGAGATTATAACAATAAATCTGACCAAAAATAAATCTAAAATATTTTCCCAAAGAACTGGCATTTAAGCAGACATGTATAATAAATAAGCAGGACTTAATTGAGCAATGGAGGAAAGGATGATAGACAGCGATAAGGGAGAAACAATTCTAGTGGAAAGGCTTGAGTAACGAGTCCTGAGCTAAAATTATTTAACAATCTGAGAAAAGATCAATGCAGAAAAAAAAAAGTAGTAAGTGATATAATATGAATGCTGGAGAGGAAAGGAATGTCAGCACACATATGGAGGATCTTAAAAAACACTGATATGTTTAACTTTATTATAATGCTAATATTAATATTAAAGTTTTATTTTTATTTTTCTTCTTTTTTCTTAAACAATCTGGGTACTTATAAATTTGACATTGGCCTGGAAGAAAGAGTTAATTAAAAATTAATCAATAGCATTTTGAGTAAATACATGTCCTTCGAAGGTTGAGGCAAGAGTTCATTCATTCCTCTGTTCATCTCATGTAGCAAATACTAGAATTCAAGACACCCTTCTGGAAACTAGGAATACAGCCCTGAAGAATACAGTCCTGGGATAGACTGAATGGGCCTGTACGAAGAGGTTTTCTGCTCCCTTTGAATACATGTGATTTGGAGAGGAAGGGCATATTATGTTACAATTACAGAGAGGTCCCAAGACTTAATTATAGGCATTTAACTTTCTCTACTTCCTTCACCCGTTAATGAAGACAGAAGCCATTTATGATGCACAGAAGGTAGATTTCCCCTCTGAGTTACTCCTATTTTTAAAAAAATCTAAAAGGTTATTACATTTATGTACCTTTCTGATGTGTCAGTCAATGTGCTACGTGCTTTAAATACGCAATTTAACCTTAAGCAATCAGAGCAGAGCACTGGCCCCATCACATAAAGCAAAGCAGGAAAATGTTCTGATGTTCAACCCAATGATGCCTATTGCAACAAGTCTATCATTTCATAATTTAAAAAAAAGAAACTTCCATCAATTAGAAGTTATGGCAATTTTCATATGTAAGCTTATATATTGTTAAATCAGTCATGTTGTTTTTGTTTTTGTTACTTTCCTAGATTGAACCACTACTTGCAACTAGGGATTGCAGGCCTAGGGTTGTGGAAGTGATAATATGAGATGGTTTCAACTAAAGGAAATCTGTCAGAATGTAATTTATATCTTTTTGGTGATACTTGGAAATTTTGTTTCATTCACCCAGACAGAAAATTAAGGAGTATTCATTTTGCCACAAAACAGAAGCATATATTCAAAGGCAAACAAGATAGTTTTCAGTGCTCCAGGAAAAGAATGATAAAGAAGAAAACTTTGATAAATAAATTAGGAAAGTATCAGAGATATGGAACGTTTCAGCAAATTCCTGAAGGATGATGATGCTTTTGAAATGAATCCAGGGTATGGGAGTGGTCAAATATTAGCAGATATCACCCGGGTAAACAGCAAGGGGGAAACAGATGTGTAAAAGGGAAAAGCCTGTTCTTTATGCAAAAAAGAAAAATATGTATCACCTGTCAATTAAATGAAACATTCAGTTTTGCAGAAACATATTTTCTACAAAATGCTTATGGCTACAATATGCTTTAAGAAGTTTTGGAGAACTGTAATCAATAAAGGTTCGAAAGGGAGGTGTGACTGTTTCAACCAAGGTAACATTTTCTAGTTGAGCTGTCCAGCAAGGAGAAGGCATCTTCTAGACATTTCAGACACGGATGATATTCAAGAAAAGGTGGGTCATCAACCCGTCAGAGATTTGTACCTAGGAAGAACTGAATAACCTAGGAATCCATCCAAATCTGAGAACCCGCTATATTTTAATTTTTAAAGGTAGCTTTTTCTGAGAGAAAGAGAGAGAGAGAGAAAGACAGAGAGAGAGAGAGAGACTGATTCTTAATATATTGTGTTGGTTTTAAATATAAATTTTTTTTCCATCGTTCAAATTTTTAATAATCTCCACAACTCAAAGTATGTGGGAGGCCAGCTGAAGTAGAGAATTTCTAGAAATAGGCATCTGATGCTGCAACCCACTGTGAAAAACTTTGAAAGTGGTACATTTAGAGCTTTAGAAGCATGCTGCCATATTCCATCATTAAAAGAACAGCACAGACCTGGCAATAGAGAGAAAAATTATTTTTGGACGTTAGTAATGCACAACAGGATTTAATTTGATTTATTTGAGCTCAAATTGTTCAAAAATATAGTGAAACCAATGGTAAGTGATACTTTTTCATAATATTTAGTCATTTTATGTAGCATAAAATATATATTAGACTATGCTATAAATGAAGCTTATTGGTAATTACACAGAAAATACTGAAATATTATATAATTAAATATTAATCATTAAAAATGATTTCAGGATGCTAACTCCTGAACATTGAAACAACTATAGTTTGGAAGTTTGTCTCCCCAGAACCTCTTGTTAAACTTCGATCTCAATGTTGGAAGTTGGAGCCTAATAGGAGGTTTGGGTCATGGGGGTAAACCCTTCATGAATAAATTAATGCCCTCCCTGGGATAGAGGTGAGCGAGTTCTCACTCTGTGAGTTCCTATAGGAGCTGATTGTTGAAAGGAGTCTAGTATCTCCCCCTTCTCTCTCCTCCCTCCTCTCTTGCCATGTGATCTCAGCTGTCAGGAGTGGAAGATCCCTGAAGTCCACACCAGAAGCAGATGCTGGTGCCATGCGTCTTGTACAGCCTGTAGAACCATGAGCCAAATAAATCTCTTTTCTCTTACCTGGCCTCAGACATTTATTTATAGCAACCTTAAATTGAGTAAGACAAACATTTTTTTAAAATTTATTATTATTATACTTTAAGTTTTAGGGTACATGTGCACAATGTGCAGGTTAGTTACATATGTATACATGTGCCATGCTGGTGCGCTGCACCCACTAACTCGTCATCTAGCATTAGGTATATCTCCCAGTGCTATACCTCCCCCCTCCCCCCACCCCACAACAGTCCCCAGAGTGTGATGTTCCCCTATCTGTGTCCATGTGTTCTCATTGTTCAATTCCCACCTATGAGTGAGAATATGCGGTGTTTGGTTTTTTGTTCTTGCGATAGTTTACTGACAATGATGATTTCCAATTTCATCCATGTCCCTACAAAGGACATGAACTCATCATTTTTTATGGCTGCATAGTATTCCATGGTGTATATGTGCCACATTTTCTTAATCCAGTCTATCATTGTTGGACATTTAAGTTGGTTCCAAGTCTTTGCTATTGTGAATGATGCTGCAATAAACATACGTGTGCATGTGTCTTTATAGCAGCATGATTTATAGTCCTTTGGGTATATACCCAGTAATGGGATGGCTGGGTCAAATGGTATTTCTAGTTCTAGATCCCTGAGGAATTGCCACACTGACTTCCACAATGGTTGGACTAGTTTCCAGTCCCACCAACAGTGTAAAAATGTTCCTATTTCTCCACATCCTCTCCAGCACCTGTTGTTTCCTGACTTTTTAATGATTGCCATTCTAACTGGTGTAAGATGGTATCTCACTGTGGTTTTGATTTGCATTTCTCTGATGGCCAGTGATGGTGAGCATTTTTTCATGTGTTTTTTGGCTGCATAAATGTCTTCTTTTGAGAAGTGTCTGTTCATGTCTAAAACACCAAAAGCAATGGCAACAAAAGCCAAAATTGACAAATGGGATCTAATTAAACTAAAGAGCTTCTGCACAGCAAAAGAAACTACCATCAGAGTGAACAGGCAACCTACAAAATGGGAGAAAATTTTCACAACCTACTCATCTGACAAAGGGCTAATATCCAGAATCTACAATGAACTCAAACAAATTTACAAGAAAAAAACAAACAACCCCATCAAAAAGTGGACAAACATTTTTAAAATTGTATTTTTCTGCATAAACATTGAAGTAAACAAATGATCAGTGTCATAGGAGTAGATGGGAGTCCATTGTGTGCCTCATTCCACTTAATTAAGTAGTATTGGACAAACTGAAGACCAGAAAGCAAATATGACTTTTCTAAGGCCACGCAAGAACTTGACCTCATGGTGATGCCAGAATGGAAATACTAAAATTCCTACCCTATATTGTCATCAAAACCTTGACAACAATTACTGGATGAAGAGACTCAGACCACACTCAATCTACAGTAGCAATGTTTCTTTACATTGGTTTTTCTTGATTGATGGAATATGGAATAAATGCTATGCAGTAATAAGAATATATCATAATGCCCAATTAATTCGAGAACTATGTGTCAAGCACCAAATGCATGCAAAACAATTTTCAAGGTGACTTGAAAGTTAAAATGATAATTAATATATTTCTTTGTTTTAGCATATAAGAATCTCACATTAATCAAAATTACATAATATCAACTACTAATGAAATAGTAGTGGTTGTTTCATTACTTATGATAAATTTAGGTAAATAAAGTGTTAGTTGACAAGTTGAGAATCTTAACAAAGATTCTCAATTTTTGACCCAGTATCAATTTCAGGGAATGTCCTATTAAAGGCAACAAGCTCTATAGATGAAGATTTCCACCACGTCATTACTTACAATAGTGAAAAAGCAAAATTATCTTTTCTGTTTAAAATGAGTTAATAGATAAGTTAATTATGGCTCATCTGATATACGTAACAGTACACAATATTAAAAAATAATCTTTAGAAACAGTTTAACAATATGAAACATTCTTATATTAAAATTTAACTTTAAACAAGCTAAAAATAAAAAAATTTAAATATCATATAAAATGTTAGCTAGGAAAGGATTGTGCAGAAATATGTGAATGATGACAGCCTTAATGGTATAATTATATTTGATGTATTTTCAACCTTTATCTGTTATCAAACATATCTAAAAATTCTAAAATGACAATTTTAAATAAAACAGGGAAAATGTGTTTCGAATATAAATGTCTGTAAATATACATATATACATATATATATATATGTACACAAACACACACATACTGCCCTTTCCTCATAGTGAAACAGGTTTTGATGGACCAATTTTAATGCATAAAGAGTTGGTAATGACTCCATCAGGTGTGTACCTACAGTTAGTGTTTTTTGGCATTAAGGTGATGTAGAGAGTTTGTTTTCCTAAATATTTAAAAAATTCTCCCAGATATGTAAGGCAAAGCCACTTAAGACTAGACACTGAATCATCAAAATGTGTTTCTCAAATTTATATGAAGGCTGAGTTAGTGAGAAATCATACAGTATCATGAAAGGTTATAAGCCGAGGAAGGAGTGGAAGACAATGGGATTGAACTATAGTCTTCTGTTATCCATCTGCAGCAATGTACTAATTGCCTTCATGTCAGCAAAGATATGGTTTTGTAACATTTTAATTTATATTTTCCACTTGAGAACATTAACTACAGTTTCAATTCAATTATTTTTGGATGTGTATGTACTAAACCTTGTTTTGTTCAAAGTTTTCATTTTCCATATAGAAAATAAATCTCAATTTTAAAGTTGTGATGGGTTAATAGCTATCTCTTAACAGCAGTAGGTATAAGCCCTACACTGTTTTAGGAAATCTATACTAACTACATATTTTTAGTACCTTAAGGAGATTGATAAGTGCAGTTATGCAAACAAAAGTTTCAGAATGAGAGCTGGACTTATAAGTTTACATCTTAATGCCTAATCTTTATGCTATATGGCCTCTGGGGTGCTTTATTTCCTTGACTAAGAGTTAATAATTATACGCAAGTAAGTTAACTGGCTCTACTAATCATAGTTAAAATTACTCTTTTTTTTTTCTTTTAAATGGAGTCTCGCTTCGCCACCCAGACTGGAGTGCAGTGGCACAATCTCGGCTCACTGCGACCTCTGCCTTCCAGGTTCAAGCCATTCTCCTGCCTCAACCTCCCAAGTAGCTGGGATTATAGGCATGTGCTACCATACCTGACTAATTTTTGTATTTTTGGTAGAGATGAGGTTTCACTATGTTGGCTAGGCTGGTCTTGAACTCCTGACCTCAAGTGATCTGCCCACCTCATCCTCCCAAAGTGCTGGGATTACAGGCATGAGCCACTGCACCCGGCCCAAAATTACATTCTTTTATGAAATAACAATCTATTGAAGAACAGCAAAGAAACACAACTGGAGGACAAATCATGAGGGGCTCTCTATGTGAGGATAAAGAATTTGGCCTTTCTCAATTCCCTTATCGTGTTATTCTATTGAACGCTCGTATTTTATGAGACATTATTAGGTGTTGTTGCATGAGGGAAAAGATGTTCTATACTCAAATGTACTTTTTAAATCTTGGGAAATGAAACATCACGGAACAGGTATTTTTATTGTCATCACAAAGCTTATATGTATTATGAATCAGCAAAGGAGAGGCAGGAATACCAAACATGGTGTTTCTCAAACCCTTTTGAGCCCAAAAGACTTTCTTATTTTATTACTGGTATTACTATCATTTTTAGAATAGTTATTTGTCTTTCATTTAATAATAGTTATTTTCAGAATACAGTGTGGGAAAGGCTCAATAGGTTGATATGCTCAAATTATACTGACCCAATCCTGTGTATTCCTCAGCTTACAAATATTTCCAACTGATTGACTTTACTTACAATGTACTTAGAACAATTATGACTCTAAAATTCCATATATCCCTGAGTTCTTCTCAGTTTAATCTTTCTACCCCAACCTGAGTTTGTTGTCACTCTCAGTTCTCAATTTTAATCATAAAATACAAATGAATGTTGAACTAAAACAATTCCATAAACAGTCATCTGTTAAGAGAAAGGATCTGGCAAATTGGTTGGCTGGCCCCTCTGTAATCCAAATCTCTTAGTTTTTCTGCATATCCCTAGGTGACTGTATGTAAATTAAGTAGTCTTGAACAAGCCAGGTGTCTTAAAACAGTGCATTTCAGTTTCTTCATCTTTCAGTGTAAGATAATTGTATATGTTTTTAAGGTTTGTAGAAAAAAATGAATGAAATAAGGTATTAAAAATGTCTATGTTACTTCCTAGCACATAGTAGGTATTCAAAATTGATAGCTATAATAATGGCCTATGGAATATTAAAACAACTAGCTGAAAGAGCATTTCCATTTTCTATTTTTGACAGGGAAAATATTAATGCATGATTTGGGGAAGGGATGTGTGTCAAAAATACCTTCAGTTTAAGTTTGGGAAAGTGTTCGAAATAGCAATGAACTTACGCATGGCTGATGGGTAAAATTAATTATGTCTGTGTAATTAGGTTGAGAAAGCTGGTATCTATCAAAAAATTTCCTCCCATCTCAGCAGAGCACACTGCTACTTTTTTTGCAAACAAACACAGGATATCTGCCATGAAAATTAGCATATTTTCAGTATCTAAAAGAAATGAGGCCAGTTAGAGAGTTAGAAAGGTAATCAGCCAACAGCCTCATAAAACAATTTTCAAAATGCTTGCCCTCCTTGATTTATTTTTGATAAACTTTCATTACAATTTGAATGTGTGACTTAAATAAGTGACCTGATTATAGTCATATGTTTGTGCACAGTAGAAAGAATTTCTATTTGAGAGAAATTTGCAAAAAAGGGTAAAAGGTAGAAAGAAACTAAAACTAAGAAAGATATGAGAAGAAGAAGAGAATCATCCAGGCTAGAGACAGAGGTTAAAATGAGTCATGACACGGGATGAGTATTAGAAGTAGTTTGGGACACACATTTGTCAGCTGGATGAGAAAATTGACAAAGAGATGCAGCCAACACAAGCTTGCATGATAAGTTCTGAGATCTGCGATTTGATGGTCAAAAGGGAAAGGCTTTGTTCTGTAATCTGGATTCCAGATAGTCTTTGGGTCTTTTCATTCATTCACATTCTTTTGTCTTTAATTATATATTTTCTTCTTAATATGACCATGGTGGTTTCTATTCTCCTTCCCTGCTCTAGATTGCTCCATAACACTTATAACAATATGGCATATTATTCTGTCTTTATTATTTTCATTGTCTATCTTCATCCCCATCGGAATATAAGTTTCATGAAACATAGATTTTTATGTGTTATTTTTTCACTGTTGTATCCTCAAAACCTAGAACAATATATGGCACATCTTAAGAGCCTAATAAATATTTGTTAATGAATAAATGAAGTGCAAAAAGAGAATAACAAGGATCTTAGCATTATACATGTCAGGTAATGTCTTTTACCAGCTGATTAACATTAGGTGAATTTTTTACTTCTGGTCACCTTAGTTGTGTTTTCTATAAAATCTGACTGATGTCATATGTTACACAGGTTGTTATGAAGAAGGTAGTTCCACTTACCAGCCAGTATATGGTGTGTGTGTGTTTACACATTTTATACACACAGAAAATGGCAATAATCTTTTTCTAAATAAAGACTTTTCTCTATTATAAGAACTTTTTGTAAAAAGATGAGGTCTACACAGAGTAAAGTAATAGATGCACACTGAGAAAGCAAGAAATATATGTGAAAATAAAGGAGAAAAGATGAACAGTTTTGACCATTAAGGGATCTCCCTGGGTCAATAAATTTAGGAAAAAAAACTTTACTAGATTATTACGCCCAAAACACTGTCTCCCTCCCACATAATTCTCACTGGGGGCCAAAAGATGGGTCTCTCTCTTCTCTCTCTCTCTCTCTCTTTGTATCTACATATATAATACATATATATGTGTATATGTATATATATGTATATGTATATACATGTATGTATATATAGTAAAAAATACCATTTAACTAAGAATGCAACTCAAGACGAAATTGGTCTGAGTGTTTGTGAATGTGCATGTTAATTTCTATCATTGAAAAAGATACAGAAAATGCTTCTCTATTTTTCAGTTTCCTTTCTCTGATACTGCATTTGTTTTCCATATGTTGCCTACCTGCACAAACAATTTTACTAAATAGTCACAGAAATTATGAAATTTAAGTTTCATGAATGCAGTGATCATAATTCCCTTCTTCTCACTTACAATCTTAATACTGGAAACAAAATGCATACTTAAAGCTGATTGAATGAATAAACGAAATTGAAAAGTACAGGTTCTGAAAAGGAAAAGGAAGCAAGAATATTAATAATCATAGACAAATAACTTACTGTGACTGAGAATTAAGTTTAGTTTTCAAGGACTTTGTGTCCAGGAAAAAAGAGAACTTAATGGATAACATAATTATAATTTTCTAATAAAAGGGAATATTCCATGAATATTTACGTGTGTCACAAGAGTTCTGTGCATTATTTGTGGATCACCTATGTAGCTCATATAACCAACTAAATAGTATTCTTTAGAGGTCAGTCAGTATGTTACTCAGATAGACAACTAAGCTTTGTGGCACGGGTAGACTTGCATAAAAGCACCCACTGTTAGCTTATTTATCTTCCCGTTCTCTCATGGTAATTCTCAGTTAAAAATAAGACTCTTTGGTTGCATGCCTGGTCTTAATATAGAAGTTAGTTCTGCTATATTGAGCAATGTTTTGTGATCATTGGTAATAGAGCTGGCATCATAAAGAGGGAATGTTAGCTGTATTATCTTCCTGCATGACATTATAATTTTTTTGGTGTTCACAATGTGCTCTCTCTCTCTCTCTCCCCAAAATTTTCATTGTAAGCAGAAAAAAGTTTCAGTCTCTGCCCTGTTCCTTACTAGCTCTTTAAAGTTCTTCCACATTTGATCTTTATCAAAACAAACAAATCAAAATACCTAAGAGGTATGGATCACCTTATTTGTCAGTTGAAGAAATGGGGGGAGAAGGAGTATATGAAAAATTAAAACTTGCTCACCCTCCCACAATCAATAAAGGCATAGAGATGAGATTTGACTTCATATATTCCTGACTCAAACTCCATGTTTTTAAATCGCTCTTCTATATTGGGAACATTTTCTTGTCAAGTAAAATCAACGCTAAAAGCAAAGACAAAATGGTATGGCAACCTTGGATGGGAATTATCATCACGACTCTGATGGGGCTCCATGTGTACTCCAGGACCACACATAACATAAAGTGACAGGAGGCACCAGAGCATGCTGATGTTTCTAAACTGCCCTTCTTTCCTAACCTCCAACCTTTCATTCTTCCATGGCTTTTGGTCCATTCTTTTCTTATTCATTTCTTATATCCTGTTGTTTCTATTCGTCACTTAACTTTAGCCTTTATTTAGAAAAAAACTTTTAGCATCCATGTGCAAAAAGTTAAGTGTAACCCTATCAGTTCTGCTGAGGTACTGTTTGTCTATTACATGTTTTTAGGGGCGGGGTGGGAAAGCTGTTTTATTCAGATAAATTAAGACAACATTTAAAAAAATGTAATGCGAGGTCAGATAACCCCGGTGTGTTGACATATCTAGAAAAATCTGCAGCAATTTGCAACTATGATGGAGGGTATATAAGATAGTTTTTTTTTTTCAGAATGTATTAGTAGGAGACAGTATATAGGATATTTTTATGGAGAGTATATAAGATATTCTTTTTTTTTTTCAGAATGTATCAGTAGAAGAGACTGACCAGGCATTTATTAGTTGCTTATTATGTCCTAACCTTTGGGTACATAAAGAATAATAAGGTCTTGTCTTTCATCTCAAGCCTGGGCAGATAAGCAAACATTTTATCATTTTTTAAAATAATAGAAGGGAACATAAATTGCTAATGAAACATAACAAATACCTAGCTGTGTCTCACCCTATGTCATTCCTGCCTATGGCTCTCTTTTCTCCAAGTGCAAATGCAGCATCAGAATCCATCTTATCATGGTGTTCAAGGAAGCCACTACTAATTGGAATGGCCATAAAAATGAAACCTTCATAGAGTCAGAGCTATAGGAATACAGTTAACAAAGACTAGTTCAAATGACTAAATAATTGGAGCAATATTGTGATTTATATTGAATGACAAAATTCAACTTTCTTATTAAAAAAGCAACAGGCATAAGAGTACAAAGATTTAGCATGCAATTATAATATATACTGTTGACACTGTTGGACTAGGAAAGGTTAAACAAACAAAAAGAAACAAAAAAAAGATTCACCTCTAAATCGGCAAACACTATTGCCATCCTAGGTTTCATAGATTCTGTTGCTGTCCTGACTATATACCTGGGACCTCACCATGAAGCTGTCCTCAGCCACTTTCCAACTGTTAATACTCGCCTCTTTTTTCTGGAAGACTGTCCACACCATGGCAGGCCAAAGTACAAACATGAAGCTGTGTTAGCGTCACTTAGTGGTGAACAATGAACAGAAGTCTATTGGTGTATAAATATTTCATCTTCCTCACCCTGCAGTTAAGGTAACTTTAGTTGTGTATTTAATATTCTTCTCTAAAGTTTTCCTACAGGATCAAGTTCTTGTCACACAGTGTTGACTAGGATGATAATGAACCCTCTGTTGGCTGCCTTTACTTCCTTTAGGCATTTTCACACTGCCTTTTCAGTGTTTTCTGGAATTACCTCCCAAATAAACTACCTGTGCTTGAATTTTTGTATTTAAGTTGCCCTCTGGGGGAATCTGAAGTAAATTTTCATCCTCTCTTTGAGTTATTCTCTCCTCTAGACACAAAGACACACACACACACACACACAAATACACACACACACACAAATACACACACACACACACCCCTATCAAGGCCACAGAATTCTATCTCAGAGTTAACTCCTAAAAGCCTCACATCCCCACATATCCCCTCCCCATGTTTTAGTGAAGAGGCTTATAGCTCTCTAGCTGTCATAGTTTGACTCCAGTAATCTCACCTTTTGATGTCACTTCTCGCTTAGGACTTCTTTCAAATAATTCCCTGTTGCCTATAAAGTGAATCCCAACAATGATTGATATAAGGCATTCATCACTTGTAATCTGGCCCTGAATTTTCACTTCTAGCTTCACCTTCCATGAATACTTCATGTCACATGGACAGATGAACTATGCTTTGTACATGCCAAGAACATTCAGGATTTATTGTCATTACTTCTCCCCACAGAAAATCATATCCCCCTTGCCCTGACCTTCCTAGAAATCTCAAGGATTCTTTCAAAACTTAACTCCAGCTTCCTCATTTGGTATAGATAGGCAATTAGTGTTCTACATTCCCACAGTATTCTGTTTCTATCTTTGTAGTTCCATTGGTTTTTGTTTGTTTGTTTGTTTTTGTTTTTTTGGTTTTGTTTTGTTTTGTTTTGTTTTTTGAGACGGAGTCTCTCTCTTGTTGCCCAGGCTGGAGTGCAGTGGCATGACCTTGGCTCACTGCAACCTCCGCCTCCCGGGTTCAAGCGATTCTCCTGCCTCAGCCTCTTGAGTAGCTGGGATAACAGGCACCTGCCACCAAGCCTGGCTAATTTTTGTACTTTTAGTAGAGACAAGGTTTTGCCATGTTGGCCAGGCTGGTCTCAAACTCCTGACCTCAGGTGATCCGCCTGCCTCTGCCTCCCAAAGTGCTGGGATTTGTAGTGGCATTTTAAGGCCATTTACAAGCTTCTGACCTTATCAGATACACTAGGTTGTCATCTCTTATTGGGCAGTGACCATTTTCTATTGACTTTGAATTCCCTGCACTAGTACCATCTCATTACAGAAGCAATTATTAAAGAATGTAAAATCTGCGGCATAAATTTGACTTCTCTAACATTTTTATATTCAAACATTACTCAGTAAAGAACCCTTGTAAGCATTAAAAAAATAGAATTCGTAAGATACATCTGACATCAGTGGTCATTTCCTTTATATTTCATCTTGAGTGTAAAGGAGCCTTCTTTTCAGAAAAAATAATTATCTTCAGTTTGAAAAATACTATCCTCCTACATAGACCCGTAAAGAAATCTAGATGAAGCTAAAAGCAGCTTAACCTACTTCACAATTTTGCCTCAGGCCAGCTCTGACTGGAAGTACTACCAAATGGGAAAGATTTTGACTTAAATCAATATGAAATCAAGATATAAATCTGTACTATGTTTAACTACATGTTCATTGGTTAACATATTAGCAAACAATTTTGGGCTATAAAAAAGCTGACATTTTGGAACAATTAAGAACTTTGGTATAGAGAAGAGAAAAAAAGCATCAAATACTGTAAGATCACAGAGAACCTACTGACATCAGAATAACCAACCAGATTAAAGTTGACTGGTCAGAAAAGGTGATGGTTTTCTGGTTCCAAACTTGAAAAACCTATTAAGGGAATTTTACACGTGAGATCCCTATAAAATACTATTCAAAGCTCAAAAAAATGTAACTTCTTTGTGTTACATATTTTGTAGTAATAAGATTTGAACTTATGGAGATTAGAAAGACCCTTTGGAAAGTTTCAACTTAGTTCAAGTCAAACTTGGTTAAATTGTTGTAAGTTCAAACCTGAGAGACAAACCTATAGCCAAGTCTTTAATTATTATATTACCAATGACTACTCAGAGTGGAGTGGAAATACTGCCACCTAATTAAAATAAGCCTTTATTGATTGATTGATAGATTTAATTTATTTTTCTAGATAGCTGATATTTAGATTATAGAAGCTGATTCTGAAGGCTTTCTGACTTTTGGCAAATATTTATTCACTTTGCAACCCTGAAATTCCAGGTGCACTGATATGATTATGAGACTTTGAGGTTGTTTACAAAGCAGGCTGTTTGCCCAGTGGAATGTGTTTCACACAGCTTTGCTTTTTAAGGAATTTCTCCTTAAGGGGCAGTGTCACTGCATCCCGGACATAGAAGGCTGGAATAAACCTGCAATCATTACCATCAGTAAACTTTTAGAAAATAATATGAAGAACAGAACCAATTGCTCAGATTTTTACTCTTTGTTTACAGACATCTTTTAAAATATATATTTTCCCTAAAATAGTAGTATCATAGTTAAGTATATATTAGGTCTTTTTTCTTTTTTTTTTTTTTTTTTGAGATGGAGTCTCGCTCTTGTCGCCCAGGCTGGAGCGCAGTGGCATGATCTCAGCTCACTGCAACCTCTGCCTCCCGGGTTCAAGCAATTCTCCTGCCTCAGCCTCCTGAGTAGCTGGGATTGCAGGTGCCTGCCACCACGCCTGGCTAATTTTTGTACTTTTAGTAGACACAGGGTTTCACCATGTTGGCCAGGCTGGTCTCGAACTCCTGACCTCAGGTGATCCACCCGCCTCAGCCTCCCAAAGTGCTGGAATTACAGGTGTGAGCCACCATGCCCGGCTTACATTGTGTCTTATGTGGCTTTCAGTTCATCATTTGCACAGCAGATATCTAGCAATTGTGTACTATATTGTAAATCCTAGAGTAGAATCATGAATAGCTGCACTTCCTGATATCAAGGGGTTTTATTACAATAGGGGAGAGGACTCTAAATATGTTAAGTACTATAATAAGGTATATATATAAGTGTGTTAGACATCATGAGTTATGTGTGAGTGTGAATCTCTAAGAATTAATCAATGAGACTGTTACAAGTAAACCTAGCTTGTAAAACTGATCATGAGTTTATCAGTTGGAGAAAAACAATGGAGCTGACATGAACAAGGGTGGTGAGTTGTAAAAGAGCATAAGATGTTTATAAAAATGGTTAGTGATTTTAGTAAAGGCGATGATGAGAGGGTTAGGAGCTAGAATGACAAGGGTCTACCATAGCATGGCAGAAAGTGAGGATTAGGCAACAGTGAAGGGTGACAAGTATGAGGAACACTTGATTATATTGGCATAAATTTAGAAGGACTAATTCAGTGCAGGAACAGAGAAGTGGGCAGAGTGGAAAGGAATCCATAGCAAAGATCATGCTTTAGAAGGACATTGAAATGCTCCCAAAAGCTTAAAAAGTTACAGTAGTACCAGGGAAGAAAAGAATAGAGAATTTACAAAGAGCATGGATCTGAAGAAATTCTTAGACCAGTTGTTCAAAAATACAGTACCCAAGGGCCCACAAAAAGTGGAAAGGTCTTTTAAATGTTTTTTCACTTATTTCTTGTATTATCATTTGGTAAGCATTTTATCTCCAGTTTTTCAATAAAATGGCTTAATTAAATGTGTTGACTAGAGCTAAAATTAAAATTCAGGTTTTTCTTAGCCTAAATCTCACCCCTGACATCATACTGCATCTTGGTTTTAAAATAGGTTAATTTTAAAATCTACATGTGACAGTTTTGCCATTGGGTATTTAATGCTCAAGATAATTAAAGTAGCATACCTTTTCTTTCTCTGCATTCAACAACTCACTTCACTTGTCAGAAAGAGAATGTAGATTTTTTTTAAATAGAGCACTACATTTCACTTGGAAAAGTTTGCTTCTTGACTCAAGCGACCTAGTAATTATTTCTGAATGTCTACCAAATCCCTGAGCCTAGATGTATCTTTCATGTACTAATAAAATAACCAGAGTCTCTTTTTACTCTATTTTTGACACTATTCACTGAGATGAGAAACAATACCATATGAGTCTGCAGAAAAGTAAAAGGCATTGAAATCAAGCTTCCCAGTCTCAAACTTGAAAATGCTCCTAGTGAGTAGGTATATATTACAAATATTACAAAACATATTTGTGGATGGTAGTCCATAATTTTAAAGATGGTTTGATAGAAATATGTTAAAAGTACAAGCAGACAATTATTTACACTTCTTTTTTTTTCTTTTCTTTTCTTTTTTTAAATTATACTTTAAGTTTTAGGGTACATGTGCACAACGTGCAGGTTAGTTACATATGTATACATGTGCAACGTTGGTGTGCTGCACCCATTAACTCCTCATTTAACATTAGGTATATCTCCTAATGCTATCCCTCCCCTTTACCCCCACCCCACAACAGGCCCCGGTATGTGATGTTCCCCTTCCTGTGTCCATGTGTTCTCATTGTTCAATTCCCACCAATGAGTGAGAACATGCGGTGTTTGTTTTTTTGTCCTTGCAATAGTTTGCTGAGAATGATGGTTTCCAGCTTCATCCATGTCCCTACAAAGGACATGAACTCATCATTTTTTATGACTGCATAGTATTCCATGGTGTATATGTGCCACATTTTCTTAATCCAGTCTATCACTGTTGGACATTTGGGTTGGTTCCAAGTCTTTGCTATTGTGAATAGTGCCACAATAAACATACGTGTGCATGTGTCTTTATAGCAGCATGATTTACAATCCTTTGGGTATATACCCAGTAATGGGATGGCTGGGTCAAATGATATTTCTAGTTCTAGATCCTATACGAATCATCACACTGACTACCATAACTGTTGAACTAGTTTACAGTCCCACCAACAGTGTAAAAGTGTTCCTATTTCTCCACATCCTCTCCAGCACCTGTTGTTTCCTGATTTTTTAATGATCACCATTCTAACTGGTGTGAGAGGTATCTTATTGTGGTTTTGATTTGCATTTCTCTAATGGCCAGTGAAGATGAACATTTTTTCATGTGTCTTTTGGCTGCATAAAGGTCTTCTTTTGAGAAGTGTCTGTTCATATCTTTCACCCACTTGTTGATGGGGCTGTTTGTTTTTTTCTTGTAAATTTGTTTGAATTCTTTGTAGATTCTGGATATTAGCCCTTTGTCAGATGAGTAGATTGCAAAATTTTTCTCCCATTCTGTAGGTTGCCTGTTCACTCTGATGGTAGTTTCTTTTGCTGTGCAGAAGCTCTTTAGTTTAATTAGATCCCATTTGTCAATTTTGGCTTTTGTTGCCATTGCTTTTGGTGTTTTAGACATGAAGTCCTTGCCCATGCCTATGTCCTGAATGGTATTGCCTCGGTTTTCTTCTAGGGTTTTTATGGTTTTAGGTCTAACATTGAAGTCTTTAATCCATCTTGAATTAATTTTGAAGAAACTGCATCAACTAACAAGCAAAATAACCAGCTAACATCATAATGACAGGATCAAATTCACACATAACAATATTAATCTTAAATATAAATGGGCTAAATGCTACAATTAAAAGACACAGACTGGGAAGTTGGATAAAGAGTCAAGACCCATCAGTGTGCTGTATTCAGGAAACCAATCTCACGTGCAGAGACACACATAGGCTCAAAATAAAGGGATAGAGGAAGATCTACCAAGCAAATGGAAAACAAAAAAAGGCAGGGGTTGCAATCCTAGTCTCGGATAAAACAGACTTTAAACCAACAAAGATCAAAGGAGACAAAGAAGGCCATTACATAATGGTAAAGGGATCAATTCAACAAGAAGAGCTAACTATCCTAAATATACATGCACCCAATACAGGAGCACCCGGATTCATAAAGCAAGTCCTGAGTGACCTACAAAGAGACTTAGTCTCCCACACAATAATAATGGGAGACTTTAACACTCCACTGTCAACATTAGCCAGATCAACGAGACGGAAAGTTAACAAGGATACCCAGGAATTGAACTCAGCTCTGCACCAAGTGGACCTAATAGACATCTACAGAACTCTCCACCTGAAATCAGCAGAATATACATTCTTCTGAGCACCACACCACACCTATTCCAAAATTGACCACATACTTGGAAGTAAAGCTCTCCTCAGCAAATATAAAAGAACAGAAATTATAACAAACTGTCTCTCAGACCACAGTGCAATCAAACTAGAACTCAGGATTAAGAAACTCACTCAAAACCGCTCAACTACACGGAAACTGAACAACCTGCTCCTGAATGACTACTGGGTACATAATGAAATGAAGGCAGAAATAAAGATGTTCTTTGAAACCAACGAGAACAAAGACACAACATACCAGAATCTCTGGGACACATTCAAAGCAGTGTGTAGAGGGAAATTTGTAGCACTAAATGCCTACAAGAGAAAACAGGAAAGATCTAAAATTGACACCCTAACATCACAATTAAAAGAACTAGAGAAGCAAGAGCAAACACATTCAAAAGCTAGCAGAAGGCAAGAAATAACTAAGATCAGAGCAGAACTGAAGGAAATAGAGACACAAAAAAACCTTCAAAAAATCAATGAATCCAGGAGCTGGTTTTTTAAAGTGGTCAACAAAATTGATAGACTGCTAGCAAGACTAATAAAGAAGAAAAGAGAGAAGAATCAAATAGATGCAATAAAAAGTGATAAAGGGGATATCACCACTGATCCCACAGAAATACAAACTACCATCAGAGAATGCTATAAACACCTCTATGCAAATAAACTAGAAAATCTAGAAGAAATGGATAAATTCCTTGACACATACACCCTCCCAAGACTAAACCAGGAATAAGTTGAATCTCTTAATAGACTAATAACAGGCTCTGAAATTGAGGCAATAATTAATAACTTACCAACCAAAAAAAGTCCAGGACCAGATGGATTCATAGCCGAACTCTACCAGAGGTACAAGGAGGAGCTGGTACCACTCCTTCTGAAATTATTCCAATCAATAGAAAAAGAGGGAATCCTCCCTAACTCATTTTATGAGACCAGCATCAACCTGATACCAAAGCCTGGCAGAGACACAACAACAAAAAAGAGAATTTTAGACCAATATCCCTGATTAACATCGATGCAAAAATCCTCAATAAAATACCGGCAAACCAAATCCAGCAGCACATCAAAAAGTTTATCCACCATGATCAAGTGGGTTTCATCCCTGGGATGCAAGGCTGGTTCAACATATGAAAATCAATAAACGTAATCCAGCATATGAACAACCAATGACAAAAACCACATGATTATCTCAATAGATGCAGAAAAGGCCTTTGACAAAATTCAACAACGCTTCATGCTAAAAACTCTCAATAAATTAGGTATTGATGGGACGTATCTCAAAATAATAAGAGCTATCTGTGACAAACCCACAGCCAATATCATACTGAATGAACAAAAACCGGAAGCATTCCCTTTGAAAACTGGCACAAGACAGGGATGCCCTCTCTGCACTTCTTAAGAAAATAATTATTTGAAGTTCTTTCCCCTCAACACACAGTATTTTTGACTAGAGAATCAGCCAGAATCAGCACTATTATATATTTTTTTAAAAATCTACTTTTCAAAGTATCCCAACTTTATCCTTTTATTTAAAAAAGATAACGAGAGAATAATTCAGTCTGAGTGCCTGAAAACTAGGAGTATTGATGTCCAAGGGTAGAAGAAGATGGATGTCCCAGCTCGGAGAGTACATCCATATTTCTCTGCCCTTACATTTACATTTGTGAAGGCATTCTTCTTTACTTGGTTTTCCAATTCAAAAGCTAATTTATTCTAGAAACACTCCCTAACACACAGCTTTAAATAATGTTTTACCAGATATCTGGGCATCTCCAAGTCCAGTCAAGCTGACTCATAAAATTGAGAAATGGAAAAGATAAAGAAATAAGCTTAATTTACTTAGTAAAGCATTCATAGGTAGAAAAAAGGTAATATAGGAGATGTAATAACAGGAAAAAAATGAGAATTTTACAACATTCTAAGGAAAGAAATATAACCTCAGAATTAAGAAGCCTACCAGGGACCATGCAACATACATAAAAATAAACCTACACCTAGACATTTCCTGGTAACCTGCAAAACCTCAAAATAAGGCTTTCCTTAATTATTACTAATTAATCTGCCATGTTAAATACACTTCTCTTTCTCTCTATCCCCATCTCTATCTCATATGTCTATTTCTGTCATTTTTTTTACCTCTCTACTTATTATTATAATTCAGAGGCCACATTTTTTGACTATCTATTCTTCAAATTATCAACTGTAAACTCTTAAGCCCCTTAGAAAGCAAGAACAATAAGCATTTTGCTTCAATTGGAATTGATTAGAGAAAGGAAATTACATTTTATAAAAATTATCCTGAAGTCTACACTTTATTTTATATTTATAATCCAAAAGACACTAAGCTCTTATCATAAAGATAAGTGACAATCTTGCAGAAAGCTTGACTTACCTGTTTGTCTTTGAGGTTTTGCCGGGGTAACTTAAAAATGTCTCTGTGTAGGCTTATTTTTATGTATGTTGCATGATCCCTGCCGGGCTTTTTAACTCTAAGGTTATAGCTCTTTCATTAAAATGCTGTAAAATTCTCATCTGTTTTCTATTATTACATCTCTTATATTACCTTTTTCCTATGTATGGATGCTTTACTAGGAAAATCAAGCTTATTTGTCTTTTACATTTCTCAGTTTCCCTTTTATGTTTTCACATTTTTTTGTTCTTTTACTCTATTTGAATAATTTTTTCAACTCTAGCAGACAATTTATTAACTCTGTTTACATCTAATTTAGTGCTTAAAACTGCCACTTATTTTTTCTAGTAAGTTTTTTCATTTCTAAAAATTTTCTACATTTAAAAATCCACTCTTTGCTTTACAGGATTCTTACCTCAAGAATTCTACTCCTTCTTAGAAATAAAATATTTTTGAAATATTCAAAGAAATAAGATCCCTTTGAATAAAATTTCTTTGAGGTTGTTGCCTTATCATTAATTTTGCAGTATGATTTTTTAATCATTGTTGCAATGATTAGTACTTTTTTTCCACAAGAAGTTTCAGAGAAACTATTTTTGGGAGATTCATCTAGGTCATAGATGCATTCCTACAGAGTGCTTTCATATTTGTCATTTAAGTGTTTCCACATTCTGAAACAACTTTTATGTTTATTCTCAACTTGAGAGTCACAATGCCACATAGATAATGGGAATGAAAGTGCCTCAGTCTCTTATAGAACAAGCTTAGATTCTTTTCCTAAATGAAGACTTCATTTTCCATCTATAGCACTAGCTAAGATCTAGTTTCTTTGCTACCTGCATGACCAATATGTGAATTCTTCAAATTGTCTTGTATAAATAGGAGAGACTTTTGAGGATCCTGTCTTCTATCACACAGGAGTCTGAGGTTTGGTGTCCCATTTTTGAATAGGAGACCATTCAGTCCCTAAAGAATGTGTGGTTCCATCACATTTTGGCTGTTCAGATTGTTTCCTCTCACCTTTGTTAAGAATACATATTATTTAAATGTGAGCATAGCTTTTGTGTAGATATAAGATAAATATGTAATTAATACCCTATTTAATCACTTAATGAATCAATTTGGCAGATGTTACAAGAGGCTCAAAATAGAAGTCAAAGAGGCAAAAATTTGGGGGGAATAAAGGAATGTTGACATAAATTTACAAATGGATATAAAACTAACTTTTTTTCAAAGGATGAGAGGAGTCTATTTAACCACCACTGAAAAAATATACTGGCATGACTCTAGACAGGAATTATTTTGCATTGTTATCAGCTTTCAATAATTTATAGAATTATAAAATATTTCCAAAGGCAGTGAAACGTTAGAATCAGATAACAGAAAAATGTGTTTGAACAATGCCTAGTTTTCCTTTGGTGACACTCAGTAATTTTTTTTTTTTTACTTATTCTAAATTTTCTTACATCTTAGAATTTCTTCTAAGTTCTAGCCCCCTGGAGGCTTGTTTTCTTGCTTTCAAGCTTAACTGTGTATTTTTTTAAATATATTTATCTACTATGACTGAATTTAGAGCGACAGAGAAAAATCTGAAGTTAATTTAGTCTACGATACTGACTAGATTTGATGTTTTCTCATCTTTAAACCCTTCATCTGTTTTTCTTATAAAAGTTTCTCTTTGTTCTCCTCCTAACATTTGTACTTGTTCTTCTATGTCTTCATTGAATTTCCCTCCAGATCTAGTGTTTGGCAGTGCTTCCTAGGTTTTCTATCTTGGTATTTGTCCAATGTACATCTCTGCCCATATTCTTAACTGCTTTTTCCATGCTGATAACCTGGAAATTGACACCTCATCTCTCTGATGCTTCAGGCACTCAGCTCCAACTGTGCATTGGATATCATCAAATACATATCCCATTGGCAGTTCAAATTTGACAAGACTAAAAGTGAATGTATTAAACATCCTCTACCCACCCTTCCAACACAGTTTCCAAAATTGTGCCTTCTCCTGCATTTTCTTTATATCATGTTTAGATGTTGCTATTCACTCAGTCATCCAAGTTAGAATCCTAGAAAAAGCATCCTTAAAGTGTCTCCCTGACTTCCAAATCAATTGTTACTTCTTAATATTTCTTAAAATAATACTTTATTTCTCTCCCCAGTATAACTTCTCTCATTATTTCTTCATTTTTCTTGGAATTTTATTAATCTAACTAGCCATATTCTCTCTTAATTTTATTCTATGACAGCCCACTGTCCATGTGTCCAAAAACTTCTTCCTAAAATAAGAACTTCAGCATATTATTACTCTATTTTTAAAATTTTTTAAAGTGTTTTCTTAAATATTTTTAAACATTTTTAAAGTGTTTTCTTAAATATTTTTAAAAATAATTGGGTTTACAATACATAGGATAAAATGTAAGCTTCCCAGGTGTACACTGAAAATTATAAATTGGGCTTCTCAGCCTCCTCATCTGATATTTCCACATATGAAATCTATTATTATTTCAACTATTATGTTTGTACCAACCTTAAATGACCTTCCCAAATTGATAATCTCTTATCCAGATTATACCTGTTAGGCTTTATCTTTAATGAGAAAAAAAAATGTGGACTCCCAAATTTCCTTGGGAAAGTCAACTACTTTTTTCTCTAAGTCAGGGTCTTTCTCTGTTGCCCAGGCTGGAGTACAGTGGCACAATCATGTCTTGCTCCACTGTCCTTCTCTCAGGTTCAAATGATCCTCCCACCTCATAGTTCGTAGCAATAAAAATTTATATATAAGAACCCACTTTCATGCCCATTCATAGGGACCTGGCTTAAGAACTTGGGTGTTTCTGTACTAGGGACTACTAAGTAGCTGTTAAGGGAAAGTAAAGTAGGTCAAGTGCGGTGGCTCATGTCTGTAATCCCAGCACCTTGGGAGGCCAAGGCAGGTGGATCACCTGAGGTCAGGAGTGCAAGACTAGCCTGGGTAACCTTCCTTTTCTCAGTTCTATAGATCCTTCAATGCCCAACTCAAATACAACCCTTGCCTGTATGAAGGCTCTCTTATTATTCTAATAGAAAGTAATCACTCTTCTGAATTGTCAGCAATTTGTCTATGCCACTCACAGTACTTAATTTTTTCTGATTCATTGAGTTATTAGGGTACAACACTTTTAGCAGCTTTATTTTAGCCAGCCATCAATATCCTAGTAGGTAGCAGGCATTTTATAATATACCTCTCTGACTATCACCTCTATGAACCTTCAATCAGTTAGAGGGCAAAGACATGTCTGCTTAATCATTTCATTCATTATAACACCAAGAAACATTTCCTTGCGTTCAAAAAATATTAGTTGAATAAATAATTATTAGTTGTATCAACTTATACTGTTACCCTGAATCTGACACCAAGGTATAGTTTTGATTTTTCTTTATGATATCTTCATCAGATTTTTCTCATCTTCAGGATGCTGTCATTGATTTAACAGAATTGACTGAGCACCTACTATATGTACACAACATAGTAGGTGCTTTAACTATATCCAGACACAGCATAAAATTACCCTTTTCATCAAGGAACATACAAAGGTAAAGGCAAATATTAACTACAATGAACAATATACATAGTACATTCGTGGTATTGTGGTTTGAAAAATAAAAACCACTTAGGAGGGTTCCAAGTCTTTGGAAGCCAGCATATAAATCAAGTAGAGAGATGAGAATGCAGCTCGTTTTAAAAGGATTGTTTGGGCCACTACTTGAAAATGGGGGAGATTTTAGTCATGAAGATCTCAAAGAGAAGACTGGGAATTAGAACACGTGCATCTTATATCACACACATCTTTTAAAAGGTTAAAATATTCCTGGAAGTATGCCTTAGAATCTGATAACATAACTTTTCCTGTGGGTAACTGGATATCTAGGGAATAGAAAAAGGAAAGAGAATTTTATTCTATACACTTTTGTAGATTTTGAATTTTGAATCATGTAAGTGCATTATCTATTCAAAAATCAGATAAAAATTCTCCTAGGAAGGAAATGGAGAGCTGCTTAAATTTCTCAAAATATTAGAATATTTTTGCATTTTGGGAAGTATTTCATAAAATTGGCACATTTAAGTAGTTTGAACTAATTTTTATCAGTTAACTTCTGCTGCATAATAAATCACCCCAAAATTTAGTAATGGGAAATGACAGCCATTTATTTAGCATAGAATTTTGTGGGTTAACAATCTGGACGGAGATGAGGAGGGCAGTTCTTCAGATTTGGGCCAGGCTTAGCTGATACCAGCTAGATCCTAGCGTCTGTGATCATCTGGTGGGTTTTTTGGGGCAGGATGGTCTATGATGTAATGGCTGGCATCGTTGGGTCCTGTCTCCATATCATCTTTAGTAGGCTTGCTTTGGTTTGTTCACATAGTGAACAAAGGAGTTCAAGAGCAACAAGAAAGGAAGCTTTGAGATCTCTTGAGGGTTGGGCTTAGGATTCTCACATGCTGAGTATATCACAAGGCCAGCCCATATTGAAGATATGAGAAAGTAGGCTCCATCTCTTTACAAGAAAAGGTAAAATATTGTGATCATTCATTTTGCAATTGTCTATAACTATAAAGTGAAAATTAACAAGGTTAATGTGGAGTTATTCCCAGACTGGAGGTGGAAACCATATCATTGTTTCTTAGCCACATTTAAATATTTTCAATAAGAGAGAATTCAGTTACTTTATTGTAACTGAATTCTACCTTAATTATAAATGTGATTTTTAAATGTGTGCTTCTCACTTCAGAATATTGAGGATAGATCTGTGTCTATGTGAAGTAACTTTCTATTTTAAAAATTAAATGGCTTCCCTTTTGGATTTTTTCCCTGATAACCTCTAATATGATATAGTCCCTATCACATCACTCTTATTAAATATTCACCTTTTCTTTTTTATATTATGTATATGGGAAAACAGGACAAACATTTTTAATTTGAGTCTGATCAATATCAAATATAGGCCAAAGGTTAAATTTTTACTTTTGCATGCCATTTTCATATTGCTGTATGTTTAGCCTTAAATGTATGCAAAGAAACATTCTGGTTTCTGCTGTGCTCCAGTACCTGCAAATTTTATATTGCACATGTCATTGTTGTTTCTTTCCATGCATTTTTTGAATTCATTCCTTTAGTATCTGTCTTAACCAGAATGTAATTCATACATTCTTTGAAAGGTCACACAGTTTATGTATCTTTAGATCTTGGAATGAACCACAACATTCTTACCACTTAGTAGCTGCTTGAAATTAGACTTACTTTATCTCTAGAAGCCTTAGATTATTTAGATATTCAATAGAAATATTGTGATCTCCTTCATACGATTTTCGTGAACATAAATATGAGATAACAAGCCAAAATTCTTAGCTTAGTGCCTTACACCTGTGTGTATTCTACATATTGGCTGCTTCTCTTCTTTGCTGCTTGTATTCTTATGTTTCAACAATTTGGTAGCTTTCTAACTCAAGTCAGGTATCTTTAGTATAGAAGCTTAAAGATTCAGATGCTGCTCAGTGATAGACCTAGAAATGATACTCCACATTCACGGCTGAATTATTTGTCACAATAAGGGAATCCCAGTCATGTTCTCATTCTAAGAACTGCGTGTGGTTCTTTATTCTCTGTAAAAAATAGAAGTATGTGAGATGGGAATAATAATGGTAGTAACAAAGATCATGATAATAATAGCTACCATTTTATGTAGAATGCAACCATCATATTAGGAAAGCACTGTCCTTATTCCCGTTTTAGAGACTGAACACTGAGCCTCAGAGAGCCTGACTTGCGTGGTAATGGTTACGACAGCTGTTAAGGGATAAAACGAAAACTTTAATCCAGGTCTATACCCTTCAAGTTCCTTGCTCTTCACTCCATATTATATAAAGAAATGTAGGTATGAAATTTTCACTGATTAACTGACATTAAAGCTGTCACTATTCATATTTATGATTTCTTTAAAAAACTTTAAACAATTTTCTAGAGTTGAGTGATATTCAGACACAACAGAAAACATGAATTTGAGAATTCATGAATTTGAGAATTACTGAATTTGAGAATTACTATAGCCATCATTGGATCAGTTATAAATTAGACCTAATTATTCAAGTCTAGCAAGATTGGGATGCAGCCCTGCAGTGATGATGATGATAGTGGAATTTGGTGGATATATGTCACGGGCTCTGAAGAATGGGGTGATAGATGGCAATTATCATTAGGGACTTTTGAATAAAGATGTTGGTGTCTTCTCACTCATTAGACCAAATAGCTCAATGGTCATTAGAAGTGGCTGTGAAAAGCATTGAAATACCATCAGAAAAGGAGTAACGCTTATTACTTTAGCAACCTATTATGTCCATAATGGTGGTGTGATTAAGAAATCAACATCAGACATTATTCCCTGTCAGCTGTGGCTTTTAAAAGCTGGTGTCAGTGGCCACAAATTAAACTTGGAACAGTTTCCATACCTTTAGTGGAATTCACACAGCACATACCATGTTCTTTTCCAACCGTGACTTTAATTTGAATATTATCAGGGGTAGGTCAAAACAGATATGCTATAAATCACTCCAAAAGTTTGGTCAGAGTTGGATGCACAGGCCCAACATTTACTATAGAAAGGAAACTGAGGTTTTACAATCATGGTTTGTAACAAATCTCTCAGGAACAAGAACACAGATGTGACTGTCACTTTTTTCTTCCTTACGCATGGTTGTAAATACAAGTTGTGGGGCTTTGTTGAAGAGTAATGCATCACATCATGACAAAAACACCAGATTCAATGCAACCAGGAGGAACTGTGTAGGCCGCGTTGTAAATTAAGAGACACAAAGACTATACTAGAGGATATTACGCTGAAGGAAACAAATTCTCATTATTTGGAATAAGAATTGAATTCCTAAAGTCTGACCTAAATGACAATTATAATTGGATATTTACAATGAAAAATATATAGAAAACCTACAAGCAATAAGTCAGTGATTCTGCACTTGCTAAAAACATGTGCTTGGCATTTTTTAAAATTTTCCTAATTAAATCCTAATTAGGATGTGCATTGGAGTGTTAATTTTTAGTGGCTATACCTCTGGGGCATTTTTACACCTTCAGGAGCCTAAGCTTATTCAGATATGTAAGATATAATTATCAATAAAAAGAAGTACCACGTTGTTGGCTTGGAGAGTTGCTTATGTGTGATTTCTTTCTGCCTCTGCTTAAACAGCCCTGGGGACCTCTCTTACAGGCAACTGTAACACCTTCTTTTGCTACAATATTGCCCACTTCAGCTGCCTTGTAGGTAAAGCATGACTCTCTCTGCATGACTTCAGTTAGGTCTTTTCTTCCAAAGAAAAGAGAATCCTGTACAGAGATGCTCAGTGAATCTGAAAGTAAAATGACAGCCAATCAGGAGTATTCAAACTAGGGGTCCACACAACGACTCAGAGTGTGCCAACATGAAATCATTTGAAGTCCATTTTAGCTTGATACTATATGCATTCAAATTAAATAACGGGTTTTGTAATGAGAATTGGGAATTATCCTTAATTGCTCTCCCAAGATTTTTTCTTTTCTTTTTTTCTTCAGAGTCTTGATCTGTTACCCAGGTTGGGGGGCAATGGCACGATCTTGGCTCACTGGAAGCTCTGCCTCGCAGGCTCAAGGGATTCTCATACTTAAGCTTCCTGAGTAGCTGGGACTACATATGTGCACCACCATGCCTAGCCACCTGTTCATATTTTATAAGTTTTGTTTTAATTATTTAAAGTATTATTTAAATATTATTATTTAAAGTATTTGTGTTTATGCCACATAATTTTTGAGATATGGAATATTTACTTCATAATAGCAGACCTCTCCCAACATTTTCTTAGAGAAAGGCTAAATGTGTTTTCATCTGCATTAAAGCTCTCTGACATCCTTTTCCTCATATTGCCAATGTATCTTAGACTTTCTTTTCAAATTGTCTGTCTTCCAAGTTGCCAACACTTTTGGTCACCTTATACATTATGACCTTAAATTGGGTATTGAGTAAGGCATATATAAAGAAAGCTAAAGCTCCAGCTCACGAAGCTTACAGTCTGGAAAGCTAAGCAGTTATAATAATAGAAATTATAATAGTATTATACTAAATAAAATCAGCAATAACAGTAATAACCAGGAAATACTGCATTCTTGATGTATCCCATACACTCTATAGTTTATTCATACTCAAGTTCTCATATTATCATCTCCAGGAACTTCCAGATCTAAGGTAGGCGTTTTCTGTATAGTTTATCCATGTGGAACTGAGAATCTGCAAAGTTAAGAAAACTTGTTTAGAAGTAGCAGAGTCAGGAAATTCCATGGCTTGTCAGGAACAGAATGAAGAGACATCTTGAAGCCATATGTGAGTAGTGGTTAAGGGCATTTGAGGTAAGAATTCTGGGTGAAAGGGGATTATGAGTATGGTGGTATTGTTGGGAAGGCATAGAATAGGATATTTATAATGTTATCACATGAAACAGGGAAAAAGATTAAGAAAAAGGACAAGCTCATGTTCAGGGAAGGCAGTTTCTATCTAAGGAATAATTTATCCATAAGAACTTTCCATTAACATAGATGGATTTTCTTTGGGTTTTTTTAGTAATGTTTTAAAATTGTTCTTTCTCAAAAACGTTTATTGAGTTTGAGCCTTATCAATAATTTGGAGACATTAGAAGATGGTTCTTTCTCCCCACTAGTTTGCTGTCCACTAGTATATCTCATTTATTCATTTTTAACAACTGCCATCCTATGTACACACTTTCTAACACTGATAGGTTTAATTTCTTACCACTTGTCTCTTGCCTTTGCATTCAGAAATAATGTTCTGCCTGTAATAACAGGTTCCCTTCACAAACCTTCACATGGATCTAACGTGCTCCATTCCACCCCTTGCCCTACTCCAAATCCTGAACCTAGACAATTTCAATCTGTTCATGCTGAGTTTTGCTCTTAGCTAGAGTATATGCTATTTGGGGTGGCATGCAGTCAAATTCTAAAAGTCAGAGAATGAATAGGTTCTCTCTCCTCATAAATACCAGGAGCAATGTCATCGCAAATAAGGATTTCAGGATCTTTGACCCAGGCAATCAAGCCGAAGTGTGTATTTGGCCTTGGAAACTTGCAATATTGGCCACCGATGGTTTGGTGTTCAATGGGTTTCTCTTTGTTTTAGGTAAGTCATCTCCTTTGCCTCATTCTTCCAGTAATTCAGAACCTAACTAGTGTTGGGGATCTTTGGAGACAATCACCATTGCTGACTTGACTTGGAAACAACATAACCTTTGGGGCATGTTTTTAATAATGGATTTTTGGTCAAGTGGCAACACTGTCTGATTATTAAGTATATGAAGAGGGAGTAGCAGAGGGTAAGATAGGAGACATTCTGACATGGGTTCCTCAAACCTTGGGACATGAAACAAAAAAAAGGAAAGAAACTCAAATTACTATTACGTTTAAGTATTTTTACTAAAATTTTCATTGACTTCTCAACAAAAATCAGAGAATACATGTACCCCAATTTTATAGATTGGAATGTCTAAGGTTCATAATATTAAAAGACTCACTCAAGGTCCCATAGCAAGTAAGTGATGGAGCCAGGATTTAAATTTAATTATGAATTCAAATCATGTTCTTGAATATTCTAAACCGACACTTACCAACTGCACTTACCCAGTGTAAAACAAGCAAGAAAGTCCTTCCCTAGTGGCACGTCTGTGGTTTTATACATTTCACCTCTGTTTATAATTTTAATAAATCCTTCGGTACACTCATTTTAAAAATCACACTTTCCTCTTACTTTACTTTCTACGATAACAGCAGAGAGCAACTGTCAACAGATGTGAAAGTTTACAGATCATTAAATTCTCCTCTATGATGCATCCTTAGAAATGCCCTGGTGTCAAAGGAGCTCTTCTTTCCCATCTGAAAGAATTAGTTTTAGAGCAGTTTTGTCCCAAACTAGTAACTTGGTCAATTTTCTCCAATGTGCAATTAACCTGAACAATTTAGGAAATAGAGGCCACTGTGAGATCAATTACATCCAGGCTCCTGTTTACATCTGAATCCGATCTTCTCACCTCCTAGGCTATTTGCCTTCTCTTAAAGACCTTCACTGAGTCACCTATAGGCTCTGGGACAGATGATTCTTCAACAGACTTTACAAGACAGCACATTTTGTTTGTGACTAATCAAGGGGGAACAATTATACCAATCAACATATCTATATCGCCATTACTATCTGCTTTACACATACACACATGAACACAAGAACATGTTATTTTATATGTGAAATGTCTCTTGATTCATAATTTCCAAGTCCAGAGATGGAAAATGATGAATCATCTCTAAAACCCTGGCTTGGTTACCATACTTACAAGAAATTCTAACCTAGCTAAACCAACAAAATTAATCATGCTGTATTTAAATTCCATTTGTACCTCATGCATTCCATAAAAACTGCAGTTTATCACTTTTATTGTATATTTCAAATTTTTATACCTCCATATCACTTGCTTTAGTATATGCTCTAGAAAGCAGAACTGTGTTATTACCAGCTAAGTATCTCCAGCACATAGCACAATGCTTGGCACATATATGTTGATCAATACATGTTTGCATATTCATTTATGTATAAACCTGTTTAAAATGATATTCAGCATTGTCTATGGGCATATGATAGGAATATTTCTAAGATGACCCCCATTGATTCCTATCTCTTGGCATTTACGTCTTTGTGTTATTCCCTGCCCTTGAGTGTGGGCTGTACTTAGAGATTAACAAATCGAATACAGCAGAAGTGATGGCATATCTTTTCTATTATTAGGTTACAAAATACTAAAGATTCCATCTTATTGGCAGCTTCTCTTCCTTTCTGGCTTTTAGGAAGCAAGTTGACATGTTGGAGAAGCCCATGTGACAAAGAACTGTTGGCCACATCACCACTAATTCCAGAAATAGCTCAGTATTCTCTGTTTGTGAAGCCCTTTCCAAATGGTCTGTCAGTTATCTATTGGCCTGTAACAAACTATTCTGAAACTTATTGTCATATAACAACAATTGTGGACGAGATCTTATATTCTCAGTTGACTCAGTGGCTATGGAAGCTCCAGTGTGGCTGTAGTCACGTGGCTGACAGTTAGTCCTGGCTATCAGCTCTGGTGTCTTGGTTCTCTTCCGTGTAATTCCTCAGTGGAATGCACAGGATTTATTATGTGATAACTCCAGGTCAGGGTCCCAAGAAGGGCAGATACAATGCACAAGGACCTTTCAAGCCTCTGCTTATAACATGTTTGCTGATGTCCCACTGGCCAAGGGCAAAAACATGGCCAACTCCAAAGTGACAATGAGAGAGAAAAATACAAACTGATGCGTACCTGAAGTAATTTTTTTTATTGGATATAATTGCTGAAAGGATTTACAACCAATAGTACTGATATTTAGATTAATAGAAGTGGCCCTAGAATGCCAGAGCTTATAGAGGCACTAGGGGACATGTAGTTCAATCCCATCATCCTATAAATGAGGTAACAAACATGATCAGACCAAAACAATTACTTAAGTAGAAAACAGGGTCAACATTAAAAATTCAGACTCTTTTAAATTAAATTCATATTCTTTTTGTTCTACAAAGCACATTATTTGTTTGTAAACATCAAGCCATTCAAAGGATTGTGAAAAGAAGGAGGTCACACCATGCCACTCTGGGTTGCTGAATACAATTCTAAAATACCTGATCCCTTTTCCTTTCGCCTGGGCTATTTCAGTTCAGAAATATGTTAGCATTCTATAATTAGACATTTACTCTATCTCCAACTATGCTGTAACGTGCCAGTTATTTGAGGGTTCACTACATTAAACTACCAAATAATGAGTTATCTCCCACTAGCAATTAGAATCTAGTAATCTAAAATCATTGTTATTATAACGTTTACTTTTAGTGCAAATAGAAAAACATTAGTGAGCTCACATTCAAGTAAACACCTAATTTTTAATCTTTGCCAGGTTTATTTGTATTGGCTGAAACTATTATTGCTTTAAACTTTCTGTTCTGAAATAAACCTAGCCAGGCTGTGGGTACAGATCAGCACAAAGGCTTTTGCTATGCAGGTAAATGCTTCTGATTTTTTAAGCTTGGATTACTGTAATTCTTATTTTCTGGAGCTCTTGCTCATGATGATTTCTCAGATATAGCTCTTGGAGAATGCAGAAGTTGAATCTTTGTGAGAAGGCACCTGGCTTGGGAAATTATTCCTATTTTGATATCCATACACAAGACCCTATCTAGTCTTCAATGATAGGATTTATATTTAAGCGACTTTCTGCTTTTAGCTAATGCTATGTTTACAATATTTCTTATAGTCTGAATCATAACATTCTAGTCAAAAGCTTGTGTTTTAAATTTTACTTTTCTAACTAAAAAAATTATGATCAATATTGAAGAAAATTACCTGCCATCTCTCTTTGACATTAATTTTTTTAAAACTCTAATCAACTGCTGTATTTTTACTACTAACTTCATTTCTTTTTAGGATAAGCATTTGCTCTTTGAAGCCTATCCTTTTCTGTATATTCTATAACACATTTTGTAAATTACAATTTTTCTTTAAAGTGGAATATGCTCTTATAAATTTTAGTTGAAGGAGCAACAAACAGGAGCTTAGTCAGAAGAATTATGTTTTAGTACCGGTTCTATCACTTATTTGGTGTTTGGTCATGAAGAAACCCTTTTACTTATTTGTCCCTATGCTTATTTATACATAAAATGGGAAACTTGGGGCCAGACCTGGTGGCTTATGCCTGTAATCTCAGCATTTTGGGAGGCCAAGACAGGAGGATTGCTTGAGGTGAGGAGTTCAAGACTAGCCTGGGCAGCATAGGGAGACTCAGATCAGAAACACGTATATAAAAAGTAAAAATTTTTAAGCAAATAAATCTCTGTGTTGTCCCTGTTTTGAACCCTCTATTGTCTATGAGAGCCTCTAATATAATCCATCCAAAAAAACAGAAACAAAATTCTATGTAAAGTAAGAAAATATGAAAGACATTGTAGAAATTAAGAGAAATTGCTAAATTTACAAGTAAAAGTGATCAATTAATTAAAGTTGGACAACAAAGCCAATAAAATCTCCTGATTTTATCATGAAGATAAAAAATGTGAGAACAGAAAAAAGATGAAAAATCTTGGCTATGCAATACTTTACTAACAGTTACCCCAAAAAGGGAAAACAAAGAACAAATTGGATTCAATACAAAAAAAGAAGACATTTTCTGAACATCAGTCATCAAAATTAAAATATGAGCCTAGAAATTAAAATGATTAATTCTTAGACATTACTGAATCATTTTATTGCTCCATAATTTTAGAATCATAAGCAATAAAATGACTATTCTAAGTTATTGTGAGGTGGAGGTCAGTATGAGGTGGAGTAGTAATAAGCCACTTATAAATAAACTAAAATGTTAGATCAGAGTATAAGGAATTTTGTATGTTTTGAGGATAAAAGATATTTGACTAATAATTGTATACCTATTCTGACTATCACACATAGTATTTTATATGGGACCCAGGAAATAATAGTTCCAATAATAATTACAATACACCTAATAACAAAAGAAACTTCCAGGATGATGGTTTTAGGGCAAACATAAAGACTTACCAAGCTAAAGCACAAGGTTTTAGAGATTCAAGAACAATCTATATTGGATAGTATTCAACATGATCCTATACATTTGATGATATTTATTAATTATCAAGTTACACATGCAACCCATAAGCAAACTGATTAGAGCTTAATTATGTTACACGAGAGCCTGTTTAACGCATCTATAACATGTAATGTTACACATAGGAAGGTACATAAAGTTATAAAAATAAATATACAAAAGATAGGAGCTGGAATGTCAAAGTAATGGAGAATTGAGAGAGGGTAAGAGGGTTCTAATATGTTTAATTTGTAAGGAAAGACATCAAAATGTCTGTAAAAGACAAATGGGATGTGTAGTATTTAAAAGATACAAGGCTAAACAGCTCAGAAATAAAAAGTATAATCTATTATATGGGATGCAGGAAAACATCTGGAGACTATGGTGTGAGTTTAGTTTTTACTTTAGGAGAAAATAAATCAATTATAAACAATATTGAGTATAAAGACATTTAGTAGAAGTATATTGTGGGGGATATTACCAGTGCCTTGCCTGCATTTCTTTGGACTTTACTATTTCTTTGTGCTCCAGGTAACTGACACCTATGTCTGTGAGCCTCAGGACTTTTTCCAGAAGGCCACTTTGTCCACTGGTGAAGCAGGTCAGAAGTGCTGGGGAATAACCGCCACGAGCAGAACTCAATCATAGTCCAATGGAAGAAGATGAACAAATGTCCTAGCTCTTTCCACCACCAAGTGAGATATTTCTGAAGCATCCATTTTATATCTTTTTCTATATAATTAACCTCTATTCATTCATTAAAGTAACTGAAGTAACAATACATCCTACATTAGCACCTTTCCTTACCTTCCCTGTGTCCTTTCCTTATTTCCTTGCACTTTTTGAATAAACTACTTAGATTTCACTCCTTGACTCAGGATCTGCTTCTGGAGGGACCCAAACTAAGACACATTTTTAGACATGAACTCAACCAACAGGTAGTTAAAAGGTTTATTCCTTATGAGTAATAAGGGAAATAGATGTTGCTTTTCATTGTAAGCCCTTAAGTACTATTTGACTATTAATAAATGCTGTTTTGATAGACAGCTATTGACCAATGGTAAGGATAGATTGGTAGATTAATAGATATATAGATATCAGGTAGGTCTTTGTCACAGCTGATAGTTAATCCAGCCAATTAATAAAAATCACTGAGAGAATCCAGCCCGTAATCAACCGATCCAAAATTTTCTCCAAATACCAATGTCAGGGTGGTAGGGTTGATAAGACACAAGAAATAACAGGAAGAAAGGGTGCTTAAGAAATTTCTGAGGTCACAACCAGATTAGCCTTTTAGATTCTCCCCTTCAAGCTCTTTCTTATTAAAGCTCAACTGTGTTCTCAGTACAAGCTCCTGCTACAATCCAGCCTAGTTCCTGTATCTTTTATATGGTGCCAAGAAACTCAAAGCTGTAGTATCTCCCTCTATCATCATTACATTTCCAAATTTTTTGCTGACTCAGACATGCACAGCTTGCTGACTGAGTCATGCTCACCTAATTCTACTGATTTAGTGTGTTTCACTTGTACTAATATAACTCAGAGTATTTATTTTCAAACTCATAGAACTGCATGATTATATATTTTCCTCTAGAAATCCTTTAAGCAATTACATGTTATATACTTCTCACTTAACCTAATAAATTTCTGTACTTCACAATAGTTGATTTCCCTTCTAATCAATATAAAAATATATTCTTCTCACAGGTTAGGCTAAAATTGATTCTCCAAGAAGGCACACCTATCTTCCAGTGTCCCTTTGTGCCTCTGATACCCCAGATAGGCAGCAATATATTTCTACTGGGGTGCTACAATACAGTTTGAACATTATAGATCATGCTGTTCTTATGCAGAAATAGCACTTACTATTTTGAGCAAGGTTTGAGATATTATAAACGTTTGCCTGGCTGTTGTATTCCTGGCTGGATTTGCCTGGCTGTCACGAACACATGGAAACCATCTACAGACTAATATAGAGAAGTTGGATTATGGTGATTCCTGAATGAATGTTCGACTACCGATGTCTTGACATTGCATGTAGGCTGAAGTTTTCACTGAGGATTGTAGTCACAGCAAAGCAATGCTTTTAACTCTTAACTCACTTTTTGAGTCACACAGCAACGAGCCATCCCCAGCAGTAGCCTAGTTTCGGCTCAAACATTCCTAACTGAATCATGGGCTCATTTATATCAAATTTCAGAAAGGTGAATGTTTTCTTCTTAAGGAACAGCTATTCTTAATGCCAAGCTTCCAAATTTTTATTGAAATATTAATCAGAAGAAGACATGAGGGTTGATGATCAGGACAGAGACCCAGTCCAGGGAGCTTATAGAACTAGGCACACAGACTGATAATAATTAATAACAGGAAAATATGACCATATAATAGTAAGAAAAAATGTTACGAGAAACACTTTGGACAGTAACATCTCCCCTCCAACACCAAACTAGGAAATAGCCATGAGACCAAAGAATGACTTGAACAACTCCAGTTTGATGAGTAGATGAGTTTATTAGGAATTAACATATAAGGCACTCCTGGACAGTGACAGATCATCTCTAGAGAGCCTGCAGTTTCTCATATTTAAACTACTTTTAGGCTAATATTCTTGATCTTTGCTTACTGTGCTTAAGAGCTATGACTATTTTTCTTAGTAGGTTCACAGATACTGCCTGGGATATTTAGGTTCCCAGGAACATCTGCTCCTCAGCTAGACACCATAACCTGGCTCACTGTCTGGCCTTCAAGTTTCACTCAGCAGATAAATGCACCCTTAAGTAACCTGGTAGGGAACCTGTCACTCTACATAAAGAATGTATGGCATGCCACAATAACTGGTCTGGAAGATGAGAGAAAGCTTCCCTGGGATCTGAAAGATATATAGGAATTCCCTAAGTGAAGTGGAGGATGCTGCTTGTAGTAGAAATAATGTTTTGTGTGAGAGAAACAGCATGAGCAAAAGTTCTGAGTCAGAGGTGAGTTGCCTCAAGGAAAGAAAGAACAGATCAGAGACTGAAGACCATATCCAGCAAACATATTTTGTTTTACAGCACAGTATTTTTTTTCTATTAGCTGCTGGCCCAGATTTAAATGCTAAGAGACAACACAGAAAACTCTGCATATCTGCTTTCAATTCAAAACGAAGATGAAGGGGAAACACTGCAGCCATATCCTTCTAGAGCACTGATTAGCTTAACTGTACTAGTCTCCATGAGATGGATTGTTCTCTGTACTCTCTCCCTCTTGCCACAGTTCACACATCCTATTGTATATTGTTTTACTAACTTCCTGGTCTGGGCAATTTAATGTTAGTTACTGCCCTACTATATGAGCACCATAATTATTCAAGATATGGAGTAATCATTTCACCACTGTGTCCCCATCCCAGCAGAAAACCCAAAATGTAATATAAGCTCAAAAACTGTTCTGAATGAAGTACAGGTGAAGCATTTGAGGGACAAATGTAAGCTACAGAATGATACAGAAGGAGAGATGTAAACACCACAAGAAAAGAGGTTGAGAATTAGTCAGGCATGAGACTGCAGTAAATAATTTTTACTTTATCATAGGGCAAGAGAAAGGCATCGAAACAGAGTAATCTAGGGAGTGAAGATTAGACCTGCCAAATAAGAATTCCATCCCACTGAGGGAAGGAAAATATTACATATGGGGTATACGTCAGAGTTTATAAAGCATGTTCACTCTATCTGTTTTTTAGTTTTTAATGCAAATTGTGAGGCATATGTTGAGATATCTCATCTGTGTCCAGATGGAGAAACTAAGACTCAGTGCAGTGACTTGTCCTAAGCCACAGGGCTAGTAGATTTCTAGAGTTAAAGAAAAGTCATATCCCTTGACTGCCTATGCCCTCCCCATAATAACAGAATGTAGGGAGATATGCTCTTTTCATGATCGCTATATTTAAAACAGGACCTAGACTTATGCTCTTGCATAAGAATGACTAGGAAGATCTAACAGGATTCCAATAATTACTTGTTTAGAGTTGAGCAGGAAGATAAGAAGACTCTGATATGTTTCCTTTTTGTAAATGTGTGTTAGTCAATGGAGAAACCCCTTTTAAGAAAAACATAGCATTCTCTGCCATTGGCATTTGAAATTCTAATTTGAAAATTAAATCCAAAACACCACTCACAAAGCCCTACTTTAAAAAAAATAATTGTTTTTAATTTATGTGGGTAAATAGTATGTGTGTGTATATATATATATATATACACACACTGTATATGTATAAATAGTATATATATGCTATATATATACAGTATATATATTATATATGTGGTACATGAGATATTTTGGTACAGGTATGCAATGTGTAATAATCACATCATGGAAAAAGGTATCCATACCCTCAAGCATTTATTCTTTGTGTTACCAACCATCCAACTATACTCTTAGTGATTTTCAAATGTGTAATTAAATTATTATTGACTAGAGTCACCCTCTTGTGCTGTCAAATACTAGGTTTGATTTGTTCTATTTTTTTATACCCATTACCAAACCTCACACCCCCGCTTGTTCCCCCAAGTACCCTTCCAAGCTTCTGGTAACCATTCTTCTCTGTCTTCATAAGTTCAGTTGTTTTGATTTTTAAATGTCACCAAATAAGTGACAACATGCAACGTTTATCTTTCTGGGGCTTGCTTATTTAACTTATTATAGCAACCTCCAGTTCCATCCATGTTGTTGTAAATGGCAGAATCTCAATCGTTTACATGGTTGAATAGCACTCTATTGTGTATATGGACATTTTCTTTATCCATTTGTCTATTGGTGGACACTTAGGATGCTTTCGGTCTTGGCTATTGTTAACAGTGCTGCCACAAACTTGGGAGTGCTGATTTTTCAACAAACTGATTTCCTGTTTTTTTTTTTTTTTTTTTTTTTTTTTTTTTGCATATATACCCAGCAGTGGGATTGCCAGATTGTATAGTGGCTCTTTTTTTAGTTTTTTGAGGAACCTCCAAACTGTTCTCCATGGTGGTTTTACCAATTTACACTTTCACTAAAAGTGTACAAAGTTTCACTTTTCTCCACATTCTTCCCAGGATTTGTTATCGCCTATCTTTTGGATATAAGCCATTTTTAACAGGGGTGAGATGATATCTCATTGTAGTTTTGATTTGCATTTCTCTGATAATCGATGAAGTTGAGTGCTTTTTCTTATTCCTTTTTACCATTTGTAAGTCTTCTTTTAAGAAATGTCTGTTCAAATCTTTTCCAATTTATAATCAGATTATTATATTCTTTCCTATGCAGGTGTTTGAGCTTTATATATATTTTGGTTATTAATCCCTAGTCAGAGGGGAAGTGTGCAAATATTTTCTCCCATTTTGTGTGTTATCTCTTCATTTTGTAGGTTGCTTCCTTTGCTGTGCAGAAGCTTTTTAACTAGATGTGATGCCATTTGTCCAATTTTGCGTTGGTTGATTGTGCTCGTAGAATATTATTCAAGAAATTTTTGCCCAGATCAATGCACAGGAGAGTTTCCCAAAGGGTTTCTTGTAGTAGTTTCACAGTTTGAGGTCTCAGATTTAAGTATTTAATAAATTTTTATTAAACTTTTGTATATGGAGAGAGGTAAGGTTCTAGTTTCATTCTTCTGCATATTGGGTACCCAGTTCTCCCAGCACCATTTATAAAAGAGACTGTCTTTTCCCCAGTGTATGTTCTTGGCACCTTGTTAAAAATGAGTTTACTCTAATTGTGTAAATTTTTTTCTGGGTTATATATTCTGTTCCATTAGACTGTGTGTCTGTTTTTATGCCAGTACCATGCTGTTTTGGTTACTACGGCTCTGTAACATAATTTGAAATTAGGTAACTTGATTCCTCCAGTTTTGCCCTTTTTCTAGCTTTGCTACTCTGAGTCTTTCATGATTCCATATAAATTTTAGGATTATTTATATTCTATTTCTGTGAAGAATGTCATTTGTATTTTGCTGGGACTTGCATTGATTCTGCACTGATTCATTAGAGATGTTGATCTGTGTATTCTTTTTTTGATGTGCCTTTGGTTTTGGTATCAGTGTAATATTGGGCTCATAGAATGAGTTTGGAAGTACTCCCTTCCTATATTTTTTGGAACAGTTTGAATAGGATTGATATTAGTTCTTCTTTGAATATTTGGTAAAATTCAGAAGTGAAGTTATTGGCTCCAGTCTTTTCATTACTGGGAGACTTTCAATTACAGCTTCAATTTTGTAACTTGTTATTGGTTTGTTCAGGTCTTGGATTTCTCCATAGTTAAATCTTGATAGGTTGTATGTGTTTAGAAATTATCCATTTCTTCTAGATTTTCCACTTTATTGGCATATACTTGCTCATAGTAGCCACTAATGATCCTTTGAATTTCTGTGGTATCAGTCATCATGTCTCCTTTTTCATCTCTGATTTTATTTATTTGTATATAATTTTTTCTTAGTCTGGCTATATGTATGTCAATTTTGTTTATCTTTGCAAACAACCAACTTTTTGTTTCATTGATCTTTGTTTTCTTTATTTGAATTTCATTTATTTCTGCTCTGATATTTATTACTTTTTTTCTTTGACTAATTTGGGGTTCAGTTTTCTCTTGCTTTTCTAATTCTTTAAGATGCATCATTAGGTTATTTATTTAAAGTTTTTCTTTTTTATATAAGTACTGATAGCTATGAATTTTACTCTTACTACTGCTTTGGCCATATCCCATATGTTTTGATATGTTGTGTTTCCATTATCATTTGTTTCAATACATTTTTCAATTTCCTTCTTAATTTCTTCATTGACCCACTGTTCATTCAGGAGCATATTGTTTAATTTCTATGTGGCTATATAGTTTCCAAAATTCCTCTTGTTATTGATTTGTAATTTTATTCCATTGTAGTCAGAGAAGATGGTTGGTATTACTTACATTTTTTGAATTTTTAAGACGTGTTTTGTGACCTAACATATGGTCTATCCTTGAGAATAATCCATGTATTGGTGAGAAAAATGTATATTCTGCAGTTGTTGGATAAAATGTTTGTAAATATCTTTTAGGTCCATTTGTTCTATAGTGCCAATTAACTTTGATGTTTCTTTGTTGATTTTGTGTCTGGGAGATTTGTCAAATGCTGAATGTGTGGTGGTGAAGTCTCCTGTGGTTATTGTATTGGGGTTTATCACTCTCTTTAATAATATTTGCTTTATATATCTGTGTGCTCCACTGTTGGAGATATATATATATATAAATGTATTTGCACTGCTCATAAAGCAGTATATTGTTAATTGGACTTGAATTTGTTATAAATGTCTATTGCAAACTCTGGAGCAACTACTACATTTTTTTTTAATTATACTTTAAGTTCTGGGGTACATGTACAGAACGTGCAGTTTTGTTACATAGGTATACACGTGCCATGGTGGTTTGCTGCACCCATCAACCCGTTTCTCAAAAGAAGACATTTATGCAGCCAACAAACCCACGAAAAAATGCTCATCATCACTGTTCATTAGAAAAATGCAAATCAAAACCACAATGAGATACCATCTCATGCCAGTTAGAATGGCGATCATTAAAAACTCAGGAAACAACAGATGCTGGAGAGGATGTGGGGAAATAGGAATGCTTTTACACTGTTGGTGGGAGTGTAAATTAGTTCAACCATTGTGGAGGCAGTGTAGAGACTCTTCAAGGATCTAGAAATAGAAATACCATTTGACCCAGCAATCCCATTACTGGGTATATATCCAAAGGGTAAATATATATTTACCATCATTATACTCTCTTGCCGAAGTGACTCTATTGACATTATATAATCACTTCCATTTTTCTCTTCTTACAGTTTTTGTCCTGAAATCTATTTTGTCTGTTTTATGCATAGCTACTCCTCCTCTTTTTTTGGTTTATATTAGCATGGAATATCTTTTTCTATCCCTTTATTTTCAGTCTGTGTGTATGTTTATGGATAAAGTATGCTTCTCCTAGGTAACAGATCATGGTTTTTTCATCCATTCAGCTACTCTATTTCTTTTGATTTGAGAATTTAATCTATTTGCATTCAACGTTATTATTGATAAGTAAGGATTTACTGTTGCCATTTTTTTATTATTTTTTCTGGTTGTTTTCCAATCTTCTCTTCTTTCCTTCCTTCTTGTCTTCCTTTTAGTGAAAGTGATTTTTTTTTTTGTTGTGTTTTTTGGTGGTATAGTTTAATTTATTGCTTTTTACTTTTTGTGTATCTGTTGTGTGTTTTTTTATTTGAGGTTACTATGAGGGGTGGAAATGCTATCTCATAACCAATTATTTTAAACTGAAGACACCTTAAAAAACTAATAAAAACTCTACAAAAAGAAACTAATAAAAACTCTACATTTCAGCGTCATCTCCCACTTTTTAATTTTTTGTTATTTCTTTGTCTGATTGTACTCTCTCTGTCTTGAAAAGTTGTGATTAGTGTTTTTGATTGGCTTATATTTTAGTCTTTCTACTTAAGTCAAGAGAAATTTACATACTGCAATTACAGTGTAATACTATTCTGTGTTTTTCCTGCATGCTTACTATTACTAGTGAGTTTTGTCCCTTCAGATGATTTTTTTCTTGCTCATTAACATCCTTTTCTTTTGATTGAAGGACTTCCTTTAGCATTTCTTGTAGGACAGGTCTGGTGTTGATGAAATTCTTCAACTTTTGTTTGTCTGGGAAGGTCTTTATTTCCTCTTACTGCTTAAAGGATATTTTTGCCAAATATATTATTCTAGGGTAAAAGTTTTTGTCCTTCAGTACTTTAAATATATCATGCCACTCTCTCGTGGCCTGTAAGGATTCCACTGAAAAGTCTGCTGCCAGATAGATGTATTGGAACTCCATTGAATGTTATTTGTTTCTTTTCTCTTGCTGCTTTTAGGATACTTTCTTTATCCTTGAACTTTGGGAGTTTGATTTTTAAATAGCTTGAGGGAGTCTTCTTCAGGTAAAATATGCTTGGTGTTCTGTAATCTTCTTTTACTTGAATGTTTACATCTTTCTCAAGGCTTGGGAAGTTTTCTGATATTATCTCTTTGAATAAGCATTCTACCCCTATCTCTTTCTCTACCTTCTTTTTAAGGCCAATAACTCTTAGATTTGCCCTTTGAGGCTATTTTCTAGATCCTATAGATTTGTTTCATTGTATTTTATTCTTTTTTTTTTATTTTGTCTCCTCTGACTGTGTATTTTCAAATAGCCTGTCTTCAAGCTCACTAATTCTTTCTTCTGCTTGATCACTTTTGCTATTAAGAGACTGACGCATTGTTCAGCATGTCGCTAAAAAAACTTTTAAAAATTGTACGATTTTCAAAATATTATTCTTATATAAATGTGCTATTTGATCTTAGGATCAAATAGATTCCATTTATTTGTTGAAATTATAGTCTTAGTTTACCTCATATTATAACTTTTGCCAAATGTAATCTAATTTCAAATAAGTTGCATGGTGCTCTCAATTATTAACTATGGAGTGAAAAGGAAACCTGTCTATATTACAGGTAAGTAAAAATTGTAAAATACTTCCAAATCAGAGAAATGAACTTCTAAATCAACATTTTAACTTAGGAAAATGCCTACATTATTACTTCAGTTACATATTTGAGTAAATTTACTTGCCATAAAGTATGTTAATAAATAATAAGAAACTTGCATATGGCCTACAATTATTTCTATTTTGCATGTCTTTAGTGATTTTTTTCCCGCAGCTAGAGTGATATTTTCAAAACAATAATCAGAATTTTTCATCCCCTAATACATTATTTTCAAAGAACAACTGTTGCTCTTAGAGCAAGTCTCAACAACCCATCATGGCACAACAATCTGGTTCCTGTCTATAATTACAACCTTTTCCCCAACAGCCCCATTCCGCAACTCCCTACAAAGTGTGCTCCAGCCACATTGGATGCCCCTTCTGTTTCTCACATGCATTTAGCATTTTTCTGCCACCAAGAGTTTGCACTTGCTGTTTCCTCAACCTGAAGGGCTCTTTGAAGGGCCTTCAAATTCAGGTCTGTTGTTGTCTTTAATATGTCAGCTCAAATGTCACTTCCAAGTTCCAGCAGTGGAACCCAAACTAAATGAAAATATAAATCCCTGGGTTCTTGTGCCAATCTTTGGTATATTTGCTATGAAAAACATGTCTTGTCTTTTTTTTACCCCTGCCTGTGTTATGGAGAAATGTAGTTTTGATGGCTGAGTTTTCCTAATTCCTACTGGGTTTGGGCAGGGGAAAGTACTAACAGGATTAGAAGACAAAAGGAAAGAGATGCCACACATAGCATTTCTGGCAGTGTCTGCACACTGACGTGTCTGCTCGAGGCTACAACACCTTCAGCCAGGCCTACAGAATTTTAGCTTCCACCCAGGGTCTTGGATTCCTGTTTATGGTAACAAAGCCTCCGCTCTCTGTCCTCCAGTAAGTACAATTTTTAAACGGTATAAGATACCCAATTTGTAATTTGTTGTTTGTTTTTAGTTCTCCAACTTTGAAGGTGGTGATGGTATTTTCAAGTATTGATCACTGTTCTCCTGCCAAGGCAGAGAAGTAGATGTATTGCTTTTTCCACTGACAGTTTTTCAAAATATCTGAAGGCCACAACTATGTAATGACAAAGTGTTTTCTTCTTCCAGTTGAACAAGCACAATTCCTAAGAAAGAGTGTTTCACCGATTATCTCTATAAAGTATCTAATTTGGCTTTTGTTCAAAATTATGATTAGCAATTTGCGAAAAGATGTCTGAATACTGTTGCTATCCTTAGGAAATGAAAACTTCCTCAGAAATAAATTGTGTGCACGAAAAAAATAAATAAAATACCTTATTCTCATAATGACCTTTTTGGGATACATCCATGTCTGGTGTATAAAGATTTGGATTTCTGCTCAGTCTTGATGTATATATTTGGATTTCAATGTCAGACCTTCAGTAATTTGTTTTGATTGTTTACTCCATGTTCTGATCTTAATTGTCCACTGAGACGTCCATAATGTAATTAAGCCTTTAGATTACTTTGCAAACATTTCCTTGCCTTCCTTATTCCTGGCATCTCTGTGATACTAGACATTAATGTATCAACAGCCAGTGTTGAATGAAATAAAAGCTTAATTTAGACATTTAGGAATATTCTATCTAGAACAGTTAATAGAAAAAGTATAGTATGTTGTAACTCTGATACAGGAATATCTTAAATATACAAAATATATAAAGTAAAAAAGCCATTCAGTTTTGATTTTAGTTTGGTGAGTGACAGTTGGGAGAAGCAGCCCAATGTGGAGTAAAAGCCTCTTCCCTTTTCTTTCTTTGTTTCTTTCTTTCTCTTTTTCTTTTTTTTGTTTTATTTTGTTCTATTTGGTTTTACTGAAATCATATTTACCCTGGATCTTCTGACCTCTTTTGTTTTTGTTAAAGAGAGTAAAGAGAGTATCTGAGTGTCTTAAAATAGGCTCCATTCCTTCTGGAATATTTCTATCCTACTCAACCCTCTTTACACCACCAAAACTCTGAGAGAGTTGGTATTTTCATATATCTCAAAGTGCTTTTGCCTTTCAAATTATTTCATTATGTTCCTCTTTCTTGTCATTTTAACAGGAGAAAATACCATCCCCGACTGTCTGTTCCCTCTTCCTCCATCACTCACCTTCCAGCAAGACTCTCCTGTTTCTTTCATATTTCTTGTTGCCACCTTGTGATTCTCATACTTCTTTGATGTGTGTGCTTAAAATTGATGTAGAAATTCTGGGTTTGTAATTATAAAAACTGTGTTCTGATACTATTAATTTTTTTGTGTACTAGTGTGAAAGTACTTAAACACACACACACACATACTGCAGAAACCTGTGGGTCTCTCAATACAATGTCTCTGAAATTCCCTTACGTATTCACTAGGTATATTACTAAACAATTTAAATCTCACCAGTTAAAAAAGTGAATTGGGTAAGAGAAATCTTGGCCTAAGAATGAACTCCTCCAAGAACAACTGTTGATTCTTTTTTTTTTCTTTTTATTATACTTTAAGTTCTAGGGTACATGTGCACAACGTGCAGGTTTGTTACATACGTATACATGTGCCATGTTGGTATGCTGCACCCATTAACTTGTCATTTACATTAGGTATATCTCCTAATGCTATTCCTCCCCACTCTGCCCACCGCACAACAGGCCCCAGTGTGTGATGTTCCTTTTCCTGTGTCCATGTGTTCTCATTGTTCAATTCCCACCAATGAGTGAGAATATGTGGTGTTTGGTTTTTTGTCCTTGCAATAGTTTGCTGAGAATAATGGTTTCCAGCTTCATCCATGTCCCTACAAAGGACATGAACTCATCATTTTTTATGGCTACATAGTATTCCATGGTATATATATGCCACATTTTCTTAATCCAGTCTATCATTGATGGACATTTGGGTTGGTTCCAAGTCTTTGCTATTGTGAATAGTGCCACAATAAACATATGTGTGCATGTGTCTTTATAGCAGCATGATTTATAATACATTGGGTATATACCCAGTAATGGGATGGCTGGGTCAAATGGTATTTCTAGTTCTAGATCCTTGAGGAATCGCCACACTGACTTCCACAATGGTTGAACTAGTTTACAGTCCCACCAACAGTGTAAAAGTGTTGCTGTTTCTCCACATCCTCTCCAGCACCTGTTGTTTCCTGACTTTTTAATAATCACTATTCTAACTAGTGTGAAATGGTATCTCATTTCACACTATGGTTTTGATTTGCATTTCTCTGATGACCAGTGATGATGAGCATTTTTTCGTGTGTCTGTTGGCTGCATAAATGTCTTCTTTTGAGAAGTGTCTGTTCATATCCTTCGTCCACTTTGTGATGGGGTTGTTTGTTTTTTTCTTGCAAATTTGTCTGAGTTCTTTGTAGATTCTGGATATTAGCCCTTTGTCAGATGAGTAGATTGCAAAAATTTTCTCCCATTCTGTAGGTTGCCTGTACACTCTGATGGTAGTTTCTTTTGCTGTGCAGAAGCTCTTTAGTTTAATTAGATCCCATTTGTCAATTTTGGCTTTTGTTGCCATTGCTTTTGGTGTTTTAGACATGAAGTCCTTGCCCATGCCTATGTCCTGAGTGGTATTGCCTAGGTTTTCTTCTAGGGTTTTTATGGTTTCAGGTCTAACATTTAAATCTTTAATCCATCTTGAATTAATTTTTGTATAAGCTGTAAGGAAGGGATCCAGTTTCAGCTTTCTACGTATGGCTAGCCAGTTTTCCCAGCACCTTTTATTAAATAGGGAATCCTTTCCCCATTTCTTGTTTTTGTCAGGTTTGTCAAAGATCAGATGGTTGTAGATGTGTGGTATTATTTCTGAGGGCTCTGTTCTGTTCCATTGTTCTATATCTCTGTTTTGGTACCAGTACCATGCTGTTTTGGTTACTGTAGCCTTGTAGTATAGTTTGAAGTCAGGTAGTGTGATGCCTCCTGCCTTGAACAACTGTTAATTCTACCTTCTCTTCCTCTCCAGCATCATAAACTCATAGTCACATTTCCTTTTTGTCTTTTCTGTTGGTTGAATGTATGTATCTAAAGATTTTCAGTCAAAATTTAGGTAAATTACCTAATGTTTGTTGAGTGTATCTATGAAGAGTAAACTAACGAAGAGTTTAGTTCAACTCTTTCTCCTCAATCCTCTATGATATTTGGAACGCATGACCATTTTATTTTCCAAAGAATTTAATATTTGGGAGGGGGCAAGGATTACATGGATTACATTTTATGTGTGTGTAATCATGTAAGTGTATATACTGTGCATTGATATTTTGTCAAAAACGTTAATAGAGTGAAGGAAATCACCATAGTGATGCTACTTTTGACTCAGAAGATCAAAAATAACCCTTGAATCTTATTGCAGGAAACAGATTTGTCACAGATCTTAAGGGCTCTTGGCAAAAGTACTCTTTGACAATATAGATCTCTTAAGAGATAGTTTTCTGGCATTAACACACACAGAAGTGGCCTGTCTTTGTCTTTTTGGGTTGCTAAAACAAAATATACTAAGTAATTTATAAATAATAGAAATGTATTGCTTACAGTTTGGGAGACTAGGAAACTCAAGATCACGGCACTAGCAGATTTGGTGCCTGGTGAGGGCCCATTTCTCATAGATACGTTTCCTCAGATGGCAGAAGGTGTTAACAAGCTCCCATAAGCCTCTTTTATACAGACACTAATCTCATTCATGAGGGCCTCACCCTCACAAACTAATCATCTCCTAAAGGCCCCACCTCTTAGTATTATTGCAATGGTGATCAGATTTCAACATATGGATTTTGTTGACTCTGACCACAGCATGGCACAACTCTTGGGAGAAAGCTCCATCATGAATGCAAGTACCAGGGGGATTGCAATTAGTGGTGCTAACCCATCTTGGCATCTTGGCACCTTGGCATCTCTCTTGACTTTTCTTTGAACCTGATTTGGGGAATTAAATGAGGACCACCAGAAATTTGATTACTTTTATGATGGCAAGAAATCTTGGAGGCTTCTCCTTGAATAATATATTACACAATATGATCTATCAGAAACAATAGATTTTAGAGACATTTTAGATCATCTATTTAACTTTGCAAATTAAAAAACTGAGGCTAGCCAAGTGTGGTGGCTCACACCTATAATCCCAGCACTTGGGAGGCCGAGGTGGGCAGATCAAGACCCACCAGGAGATCGAGACCATCCTGGCTAACACGGTGAAACCCCACCTCTACTAAAAATACAAAAAATTAACTGGGGGTGGTGGGGGGGGCACCTGTAGTCCCAGCTACTTGGGATGCTGAGGCAGGAGAATGGCATGAACCCAGGAGGCAGAGCTTGCAGTGAGCAGAGATCGCGCTACTGCACTCCAATCTGTGTGACAGAGAGAGACTCCGTCTCAAAAAAAAGAAAGAAAGAAAGAAAGAAAGAAAGAAAGAAAGAAAGAAAGAAAGAAAGAAAGAAAGAAGGAAAGAAAAGAAAATAGAAAACTGAGGCTAAAAGACTGTAAAACTCTGTGAATAAGCATCATAGAGAGGGCATAGAACCAAAGATTTCTTGTTCTTGGCTTATTGCTCACTCTTCAACATCATATTAATACATTTACAAGCAAAGGTAGAGATAATTGAAAAAAATTTGAAGTTAGCTTTGCCATTATCACAGTAAACATCACATTTTGTTTTCAATAAGAATTGATTCAAAATGAAGCATTTCTGTTACATATATGTATTTTTTAAAATAACACATTATGTGGGATTTTTCCCAAGCCAGATCACAATATAATAAAGCAATCCATCCTTCCCCAGCAGAGCACAACAAAGAAGTGGATCTTGAATGAAAATGTTAACATCAGACATAACCACTGAAAAGTAATAACACTACAACAAGATAAAGCAATTTACATGAGTATTTCATAAAGATTTTCCTCCTGAGGTTCTTATATAATTTATCTCTCCTAAGCCTAAATTTTTTTTTAGTTTTTAAAAAAAGTGTAGTGATCAGTTACATTGCCTTTGAGAATTAGATACATATTTATATAGAAATAATATCTATTAATATCTATATAGAGATGGTGCATAGGGAGAGCAACAGATATTCAGAGTAAGAATCTCATTTCTATAGGGTGCACCAATTGCATCAGCAACTCATTGTAGTTCTTTTGTAATGTGAGCACATGAGCTCCATTAACATTTGACTCTGATTTGAAGCTTTTGAATTTAGGAGCCTCAAGAAATCCACCTGAATGCTGTCTGCTTTCATGAGCAAGAATACCTGTAATGTCGTTTGCTCACAGCGTGTAGCTGGGCTACAGTAAGATGTAGAGTTGGATACCCTGGTGTTGATTCCAAAAAGAATTTTCAGCTTTCTCATAAAGTTCCCCTTAGAGATTTCTTCTTCTTTGCTTGCTCCCTTTATGCTTCTTCACAATGCCAGGCACCTTAAGTATCCCATTGGGTATCTGTTGTCATTACAGACTTGTCTCTTGATATTTTGGCTTTACCTCCCATTTCTGGCTTAGAACCTGCCTCTTCCACTTGGAGCTAAAAATATAATTATCTTTTCCACCTTGACCCACTTCACTGTGAGGAATATTTTAGTAATTGTTCTGTTTATGCTTCTACTTCTAAGTGTCTAAAACAACTTCCTGATCTGCTCTAGAACATTATCCAGGACTAATTACAGCAGCTATCTAGATTTTTGAGTCCCTAATAGGACTGCCCACAATCTTTTCCAGGAAGGAATCATATGGTTGACTATATCTAGGTTGAGCCATGTTATTCAGCCAAACCAAGTTGGAGTAGGAAAACGAAATTTTCATGTACCATTAGAAGAGGCTCAACATTATTTTCTCAAATCCCAGAACATGCCAATATTTCTTCAGTATGAGCTGGTGCCAAGAGGTGGACAATGAGTATACGGATGTGATAGCAAATGGTATTTTACAAAGATGTGCTCACCAATACATATCATATCCTATATACTCTTCTTACAGTATAACATTCAGATTCCTCTATTAAGAGATGGGAGCTATATATATGTTTTTCTTTAACTTAGTAGACCTTTGTTACTGCCTGTACTGGTGGAATATGGTACTAGTAATGCTCAGTGACTTCTGAGGCTGGTTTATGAAAGGCAATACTTCTGCAAGTCTCTCTTGAGGTCCTGATCTGCCCCAAGCTGATATGTGAGAAGACTGGTTGCCTGGGAGCCACCTTGTGCAGCCATGTGGGAAGACCACATAGAGATAGGCAGAGATGACTTCAGGAATCTATGTTGTAAGAGTCTTCAGCTGTTTAAATCTCCCCAGCCCGACCTCTAAACATGAGTAGGCAAACCTTCAGATGATTCTTTTTAAATTATTATTATACTTTAAGTTCTAGGGTACATGTGCACAACGTGCAGGTTTGTTACATATGTATACAGGTGCCATGTTGGTGTGGCGCACCCATTAACTCGTCATCTACATTCTTATCCCCAGCTTTCCAGCCACCCCAACTGGACCTAGTAGACCGGAAAGAAGCTGACCCCACTGATCCCTGAATTACAGTTTTGTGAGCAAAATAAGCGTTATTGTTGAAAACTACTAACTTTAGTGTTGTTTTGTCATGAAGTCATAGCAAGTAAGATAGATATGTTCTTTGGTGCTCTCAATGTTTTCAGATATTGAATTAGTTATCAAACTGAAATTTACATTTCAATTGAAAGCCCCCGTATCAATTACCTTGACAGGTCAGAAGATCTGCCAACATTGAGCCAACATTTCTACACAGCAAATTTCAATTAGAGATGAATAGTTTCTGCCTTCCAGTGAGGCTTATATTGTCAAGTGTTCCACAGGCTTCACCACTCCCAGCCCACTTATTCATTTCGATTTTCTGCTGGTGACTTTTGACTTTCTAGTTTGGACTCTAGAAATGTGGAGTATGACTCTCCTTTCACTTCTCAAACATTTTAAGTCAGTGTAGGCAATTACCCTAGGAAATAAATGCAGGTATTGGACAATGACACAATTTAATGCTTGGCCTACAAAGCAGTGCTTAGCTATTGCTAAGATTTACATTTAAAGAGGGTTTTGGTTCAAATCTGTTTATTTCCATAGCTACAACAATCTAGTAGTGGGCAGGCAATTGGGAAATGGTTTCATTTTCCATGTTTAGGAAGTGAAGGGTCATAGAAGTTGCAGGGACAGTGAAACTTCTACACCTTATTCTACATAAGCAGTAGAATGTGCCCCATTAATCCTGCATTTCTTGGCTGTTGCTTGGTCACTTGTATGTCACTTCCATAGTTACCATCTGTCTATATCTATTCTAAAAAAATGAATCTGATTGGGTTCTGAAAAAGGCTTTTTTCCCCCCTTTGCAATGCCCTTTAGGCAAATATTTCCTGATCTGTTTTATTTCCATTCCTTCTACAAAAGTAGCATCTTAGTGAGACAGCCAGGTAGGAAGGGGTCCTCAGAGAAACTCCAATCAGGTGCACACTGGGAGAAGTGTGCACGGGGTGGAGCCACAGAAGTTCACACCATTCACAGTGGGGAGGATCCTGGCCCCTTCTCTTCCTGGGTGGAACCTGAAATTTAATCTGCCAAGTGGGAAGCATATACTAACAAGATTCTCACTCTGGCTTTGTGGAGAGTCCCTGTTTCTCTTTTCTTCCTTTCCACCCAGTACATTTCATTTTTCTCCCACTTCAAATCATCTGCAAGCCTAATTTTTTGTGGCTCTGTGACAAGGACCCCACCCCTGTCTTTAGCTGAACTAAGGAGATAGTACTACAACATTAGAACAACACTGGCCTCAAGATAGGTCTCAGGAACTTGGTCAGAGCAGCACTGGGGGACCAACTGAGATTTCTCTTTTTTCTCAGAAGAAAAACATTTTAAAATGGATAAGAAAGCAAAGAAACAGGCAGGCAGTCCATTCCAATTGTTCATCACTCTGTAGACAAAAGAAGAAATCTGTAAGACATGAGGAAGGAACAGTCCTACAGCGTTTGTCTGAAGAATGGAGCAAGAGGCAGATCTGGAGGAATTTGCTGAGACATGCTTGGAGAATAAGGGATTATCTATAATAATTCTTTCACAATGTAAACTATTCTATCTTATGACAGTTTTTGTCATGGACTAACTCTTCAAGAATATTTGAACAAAGAACAACCCTGGAAGATACCAAGACAGAAGGAAGATTTCTTTCTTTTCTCAGGAGGAAAATAAAAATAATGTCCTCTTCTGTGCCAAAGGCAGGCAGGTTTACCAGGAGACCTTTTACAAGATTGAGGGTTTCTTAAGCTGGATGTCCTCTAGTGTGATACAAGCCCACTGTGTGTACTATGTCCATCAGGGCCACTCCACATCACTCCCCCAGGACTTATGGGAGAAGGGGAACTGGCAAGAACATGAAGCTTCTGAAGCCTGCCATGTTCTGATTAATAAGAGTCTTTGTCTCTGACCTAGAAATTGTGTCTTCTTCCAGCATCCATGAAACAGGGACAGGTTCACTGGTTAGTTTGCAAGTAGGGGGACATCACAAGAGCAGCAAGAATATTTCCTTTGGTCTTAAAAGGATCTTGGACCACTATTGAGAAATTCTCTTTGATAAAGAGCTAGTACTTCTTTCTTTTGCAACAGGAGAAAGAAAGGTATATAGGTGGCTACTATCCCCTTTAATCTATACTCACCACCCCATCCCAATTCATACTCTTGGACACATGTATTCAACATGCTAAGGTCTGCAATTTGGTTTCAAAGCTGAACTGGTCTGCAATTTGGGCTTCTTTTGTCTTCCAATGGCTTCAAATCTAGTGCATAAGAGAATCACATTCACATGCCCTTATCACAAGGCAGACAAAGGAAATTTGCCACTGCAATGGCACAGAGAAAATTCTGAGTGGAGGTCTCCGAAAAGTGTTTTGGAGGGAAGATAGTGCTGGGCAGCAGAAAATAAATGAGGTCTTTGACGGTCAGTTGTATGAAGGCATTTGGTTAGAGGAGACAGTTAAGGCAAGGCTGATTTATTGAAGACAAGGATAACAGAAGCTTCTCACATCACACTCAGAGGTTCCTAACTCTTTTTCACAGACTCCTGGCTTCCTAGATGAGAAAGGAGGGGGGTAATAACCTGATTTAAAAATTTCTCCAAACTCACTGCAGTAGGAAATACTTCTTTGTTTCAGAAAAATAAATATATGCACTTATACATACACTTGCTTTTCTTTCTAAGATGTATTTACAACGCATTCAAAAAGTTTACAAATCATGGGTATTGTCTGACTCCTTTCTGTATATTTGAGAAATAAGATTCCCACAGAAAGGGGCCAATATCTTTCCCTAAGGTTGTATGACCAATAAGTGACAGAGCTGGTTCTCAAACTGGGTGTTATGGACTGAATTGTTTTCCCCCAAGTCCATATGTGGAAGCCCTAAACCTGCTGTGACTGTATTGGCAGATAGGGCCTTTTAGGAAGTTATTAAGGTAAAATGAGGTCATAAAGGTAGAGACCTATTCCAATAGGATTGGCATCCTCATAAGAAAAAGAGACACCAGAAGTCATATGCACAGAGGAAAGACCCAGTGAGGACACAGCGAGAAGGTAGCCATCTGCAACCCAAGGAGAGAAGCCTTACCAGAAACCAACCCCGTAGACCCCTTCATATTGAGCCTTTAGCCTCCAGAACTGTGAGAAGATAAATTTCTGTTTAAACCACCCAGCCCGTGGTATTCTGTTATGGCAGCCTGAGCAGACTAATCACACCAGGGCTTCCATTTCTACGCCCACAGCTTTTCACTACAACAAGCTTCCTTTCGTGATGACTGCCAAGGCATCTTCAAATATAAAGACATTTAAATCTATCAAAACGTCATTCTTGTCTGCATTTGAGTTTTGCAGGGAAAAGGATAAAAGTAACCCATCGACTTGTTTTTCATTTTTGCAGGTTATTTTCCTTATTTACTGCTGGATAATGAAATGATAACAGTGCTCAAAGCACTTTTTAGTTGGTTATGAAGAGAAATCAATACTGCTTTGTGTTTCAAAAAGGAAAGGCATGCAAGGACGCTGAGGTATTAAATACAAGTGGGTTGGATAGTTATTTGTGAGGGGTTGCTAACAATTGAATTACTATTTTAATGTCATAACATGGCAGCACTCAAGATTACCTTTCACATCTAATCATACCATTTACATGGAAGTGGGAAAATGCTTCTGAAGTGGCCAAATGCTATTCACTGAATGGATAATGATAACATTAGCAATTGCTCTGGAGGAAAAAATAATCAGATTCCCTGTCAGGCTCTGGGGAAAGGTAACGTCCATTCACTTGGAGAAAAAAAAAAAAAAAGAAAAAACAGGAAAGTAAAAAACAAAATATACAAAACACATGTATTTTTTAAAGGGCAGCTTATCTAAAAAAAAAAAAATACCATAAGCTTAGACACTGGCTTTTGGCTGTAATCTTGACTAATGCTTAAGAGCTATGTCTCATTGATTTTGTCACTGGTAATATTAAAATTCAAAATCACTAACATGTAAGAACACTAGGCTTTAGGATTTACGTAAATTATTATGTCATTAATCTTCGCAAAACCCTTTGAGATAGGTACATTACCATCATCCCCATTTTACAGAGAAGAGTGTTGAGGCTGAAAGAATATGGAATCTGCCCATAGCTGGGAGATGGCAGAACAAGGGTTTAAGAACAAGCCTTTATATCTCTATGGAGAGGCAGCACAGTTCTATCACTGAGAGCTCTTACTGCATACCCCAAAGAAACACCATGAGAGAGAGTGCACAATTATGGTGAGGCCCAGACCTCCTCACTCAGCCCCAGGTTGCTTCTGTAGCCTGTGTTCACACACTCATGCCCTCTTCCCAGTCCTCTAATCATATCAAATATACGTTCATCAAATGTACCAGATTTTTTATGTCTTTTTGCCTTTGATTCTCTTGGAATGCCTTTCTATTTGTTTTACTTTCCTGGTTCACTTAGCTCATCTATTACAACCTCCAGAAATACTTTCCCGACTCCCTCAAAGAGTTTCCTCTTTCTTCTTCATCTCCAATAGCATTCTGTTGCATCTCTCAGGGGATGTATGGAGTGACGCAATTAACTATTTATCTGTCTTTCCTGCTCAAATGTAAACCATTGGAAGCCCAGATCTGTTTTCAACATACCTGATATCTAAATACAGAAATGTCTGTATATTTTATGTACATTTTTTCATATTTACATTTTAATTTTTCTATAGTAGCCATACCTAAAATTAAAATATTCTAGGATTACAGAAATTTACTCAATAATAGTGAATGTTTATTGAGCACTTCCTACATGCAAGGTTCTGTGGTGAGCACTTTGTATATATTAATTGATATGTTCCTTACATAGCCCTATGATGATGGTACCACAAACTATGCCCATTTTCTAGAAGAGGACATTGAGGCACAGAAAAGTTAAATATCCTGCCCAAGTTCACACCGATCTTAAGTGGGGAATCTGACATTTAAATGTAAAAATCTGACTGTACATTCCACACCATTAATCATTAAGCCTTTTTGAATAATTAAGAACCAAACACGTTAGAGCAAAGGAGAGCTTCTGTGTTCCAGGGTGGCTGACTGTTAGGGATATCAAACAGAACTGGTAACCCCTGTCCATGTAAAAAATCCCTCCTCTTCTATTTAAAGGCTTTCTACATGTAATTGGATCCAGCAATAGCCTTCTAGTGTTGACAATTACAAAAACAAGCACCTATCATTTTAGAGCACCTATTTTCAGATGTTGATACTTGTATCAAGTGTTTAAAAAATGCACAGTTCTAATAAGCACTCATGAAATGAGTGGCCCAGAGCACCTGCCATGCAAGTGAGTCTCTCAGAAATTCATAGTGATCTGTGTTTTTAAGGATAAAAAATCCAGAACTTCTCTTGAAATGGCACTACTGAGAGAGATGGATCCACCCTTTCAGTGATGTTCTCATTGGCCTTCTGCAGATTAAGGAACAAGCAGACCTCGACGTAGCACTTGACCTGTTATGAGGAGGCAGCTCTTCAGTTTACTGAATGGCCTTGTGTTTGTCTCATCTTATTTCTAGATCAGGAGCAAGAGGAGATGAGACCAGCTGACTCTCATTCAAGGCTCCATCTGCCCTAGCATTTGGACGCAACCCAAGGTTATTGTTATAAACACCGATTCATTTGGACTAAGGCTTTGGTTTGAATCCTGCAGATTATTACATGTGCGTGACTGGAAAACTTGCAAAACCACTTGAGCCTCAGCTTTCACATCTTTAAAATGGGAATCATAGCAATGCCTGCATCAGATGGCTGATGATTAAATGGCAGAATAAATGCCAAACACTCAACCCAGCACAAGCACCAGCATTCATTTAATTTCATGTAATCCCCTTTACCAATCCATGATGGAGTAGGGCTATCATGCTTATCATTTCGCTGATACATAGAATGAGGCAGATGGTACAGAAGAGACCTTCATTTTAGCAGGCCAGAGATGTTGCTCAGCTAAACTATGCTTCCTCTGTTTGCGCGATTCCTGGTGCTTGCAACTTCTGCAGCATGAAACTTTTTGACTGCACTGACCGGCTACTAGGCAGTCATAGAATGTGGTCCCAGATGAGCTTGGAAAAGACAAGTGCCTAGAAACAAGCAAGCCATTAATTTCTCAAAGTAATAGTTATAGTCATCCTTCCTGGGCACTCACTGTGTACACTAGCAATACGCCAGACACCACTCCAAATGGTTTACACAGATCAACTCCTTTAAGTCTCACAAGCTAAGTGTCATGAATACCCTATTTTACAAATATGTACACACAAACATACATATGTGAAAATATAGGCACAGTAAGGATGAACAACTTGCTCAGCAACATAGCTAGTAAGTGATTGAAGTCTAGATTCAAACCTAGTCTTTCAAACCTATCCATGGTTCCTCCCTAATTCTATCCTGACCCCATTGTCATGTCCCTAAATCTGACACAGCCAACCGTATCCATACATTTCCATATCCATACATATCCGTACATTTTCCAGTATGGAAATCCACTTTCTGATTAACTTTAAGATTTTAAAAAAGAATATCTTTAATCAGCTAGATTACAATTCTTCCTGATGATAACTTTTGTGTGAAAAAAAATTGCTAAAGAGGATAATACTGAGAGAAATAGATCCTACCCTGCAAAATATATAGTGAATTTGAAGAATTCAGTGGGAGCCAGAGAGGCTTCTTATCCATCAAATTTAAACAAGATTTTTTTCTTTAGCTAAAGCCCATGCTATGAATCTTCTTCCTTTTTTTATCTAATCTCACCATGGTGGAAGTGGCAGGGAATACTTTAGATTAAGAAAATATGTCCTTACTAGAAAATACTAAGTTAAAAAAAAGGAAGGATTTTACAGTATGCAGGTTACTTCACCCAGCGAGGAAAGAGGATGGTGGGAAGAATCATAGAGTGGATTTTTAATGACCTCATCTTCCATCTGGCCTGCTCTCAATCCTATTTCAGCTTTTGGTGCAGCTTTTGGCCACCTCTAACCGGGAAACACAGTATAGCCACAGAGTCTATCATTCCAGATTTCTACCTTTATAGCTGTACCTTACCATATTCTACGGTTCTCTTTGAATGCCAAGCCAACACCTGGGCTCTGAAGAAAGATCCTTTTTAATTGCATAAAGACAACTTCTTTTATCTTCCAGCAACAGGCTTTGTTTGTTTACTGTTTCTTTTTGGAGACTATCTTCCCTCCCAAGGATTTGCCCACTATAAACCTGGTACTGTTCTACCCTTAGAAGTGGCTTTTTCATTCCCATAATTGTAGGTATTGCCTGATGATCTGCAAACTTTGCTCCTGACAAACCTGGCAAATGCTTAGAGTTCCCTTAATGCTCTGTCTCCTTAGCTGTACCCACCCTATTCTTGGGCTTGCTTTTAAGTCTCAGTACATTAGCTAAGCACACTTAACTGACCTATAAAACAGCCAATGGGTGAGAGCAAACCCCTGCAATCCATGCTGATTAGTTCAGGTTACCAGCTTTGCCCACTGCCTTAGTTTCTTTTGATGAATCATCAGGCCAGATGTAAAACATAACTTTCCTTCATTAAACATTGATTGATATGATGATGCATTAATACCTTAAGGGCTGTGGAGAAAGCCCTTGGGACTGTGTCCCAAGGAACATAGACATATAGTAAAAAAAGTAAAAATAAAAATCAGCTTTCTAAACACTCAGGGTGAGTGGTATAGAAATAACTATAGTTGAAATGCTGTGTTCTTATTTCATTAGCGCAGCTGGCTGGAGATGAAGTGTGTGGGTTGTGCTTTAAAAATTCCTCAGAATCATTTATTAGCTCTTACCCTGTGGTATTTACTACAGAGTTTTCCGAAATGTGGTCTCTTGATAAAGTACATCCTTATGACTTTATGGGCTTGTTAGAAACAAGCCATGCACCACACTCCAGGCACAAATTATCAGAATCTCTGAAGGTGGAGCCTGGAGTTCTTGAAGTCTAATAACTGCTACCCTATGTTTTAGGTCTATGGTACCCTGCCTCCTCTGTCTCTAAAAAGTCAGAAAAGTGAAGGCGCTGTCAAGTTAGGACTCAACTGAAGAAATATTCAGAGTTAAATCCTGGGGCTCCAATAGCAACAGCAAACTTCAGTCCAGGATCATACAGTGACAACTGAGCTCACTCATTGGGGTGGTATTGGCACTATAATCCTTTACTAGAGGACTGTACTACCTCCATCGTGCCCTGCTTGTAAGCTATTGATCTTTTAAAAGTCAACTTACTTGTCATTTTCCCTATAAAGATTTTCTTGATTTTTCAAGGCCTAACTTAAATGTAGCACTTAGGCCCCAAGTATTATACTTCACAACTTCTCCCCTAGACTTTAACCACTTGAATTTTAAAAACAATGTCTTATGCATTACTGTATTCCTCCAAATTATAGTATAGTCTGATATATAGCAGGTGTTTTAAATGCTTATTAAATGTCCACATTCATATATGAAAATTCCTGTGATAGTCAACCAACATCCTGACGTTTATGACCAGCAGAATTTCTGAGTGGCCAGTGTGCACATTATATTGATTGCTTTCTCTTTTGAATATAACCCCTGCCTTGATCAAATAAAATGTGTATATTTGTTATTAACGTTTGTATCTTTCCTTGACCTGGGCCTGCACAATTTAAAATTGTGACTAACGTGATCACAACTGTCATAAAGATAATCTTTAATTTGCTAATCTTCACTATACCATGTTAATATGTGAGGTGTACATATTTTGAGTATTTCTCTCATAGTGTCACTGGAAATTTGTGAAGGTTTTTATTTCTGTTTTCCCCTTGTGATTAGCAATATATTATTTATATTATTATTGTCATCATTATTTATAAGTAAATATATGTTATATGTTATAAATAAAATATACTATATAACATATAGTGCTAATTTATAACATAAAGATTACATATATGTTGTATTATAATATACAAATATAGCATATGTTATATTATATGTTATAAACATATATTATTGTCATTATTTGTGATATATATTAAAAATATATAAATATATATTATCTCTACTATTATTAGTTCTTAAAAACAATCCAGGTTTTCTGTAAATTCTGCTAAGGTGACAACTGCCCTGCTCTCAACCATTTTAAATATATTGCTTATTTTTCTCTATGTCTTTGTTTTGTGTTTTTGAGACAATATCTTGTTCTGTTGCCCAGGTTGGAGTGCAGTGGTATAATCATAGCTCACTGCACCCTTGATCTCCTGGGCTGAAGCTATCCTCCCATCTCAGCCTCTCAAAGTACTGGATTACAGGCATGAGCCACTGTGACTGTCCACAACTTTTGATAAAAAAACAAATTTTGGGAGTATTCTGTCAAATATATTTTTTTAAGTAGAAAAAGAAGCTATGAAATTATGAAATGCAGGCATCTACCGTGAAGGCTGGCTGAGCCACCTTCATGGATTCAAGGTATTTTTCTCTCATAAAGATATGTACTTAGAAATATTTAAGGGTAAATTCTACTCATCGCCTATGTTTATTTCCTGTCTAAGTGCTCCTGACCCTCTAATAATACAAAGTGACCGGGCATCCATCTAGCTTCAGCTTAAGGGCTCCAACAAACTTGATTCAGGCAAAGTGGCAGCAGCATGAGCTTTCTCTATTAAACAATAACTCACAGGAGACTGCTCTGAATAAAAGCAGGGGTTGATTTTGCTAAAGGTGATTTTCCTAGAAGTAAGTTTCATAGGATGACTGAGAAAAGTAGCATTATGTAGTAGAAAGAAACATGAATTTCAGAGTCAGACAATTCAATTCGACATCCACCTTCATCATTTACGCATTGTGTGGGCTTTGATGAATTTCTTAACCTTGCTGAGTCTCGAGATCTTTACTTATAAACAGAGATAATGCGTATTTGAAACTTATTTTGAAGATTAGTATTATAAGAGATATTAAATGTTTGTAACCTGATAGATGCTCACTATATATTCATTCTCTTATCTCATTATTTAAGAGGAAGCTACAGAAAGAGACTCGTTTTAAAGAAGAGAGTTGATTCAGGCTCATTAATCAGAGATCAAAGGGAGTATTTACTGTACAAATATAGGGAATCATTCACTCCAGGGAGCTGCATAGACACAGAGGAAGGTTCTAATGCAGGAACAGTGAAATTAGCTTAGAAAGGGGTGTCTGGGAGAGGTTGAAATCTTCTTCAGATGTAAGTATTATTTTATGACCTCCATATAATGCGGACTTATCATGTGTTAAATACTTAGATAAGCTTTTCACATATAGGATCACTGGGACCTTAACACATCTCATAAGGTAGACATTAATATATTAATTTTAGATGCAGAGAGACTAAAGTTAAGAGGGGTTCATAAATTTGCCTATGACCGGACAGCCACTAGATGGGAAAATGGTTTATTTGAACATAAAATAGTGTTGCTAAAATTATGCCATTGAAATACATGATTCTCTTTGTTAATTTCAAAGTTATTTGGATATTTTAAATATACACTGTCTGCAGTTGTTGATAGGGAAATAGAATCAATGGAAGATTATAAAAGACATATGAAACTAGATTATAAGCACCACATGCATGTATGTCTGAGTGTGTTGAGACAGAGAGAGAGTGTGTGTAAGAATGTGTGTATATGTACATATACACCATAATATAATTAACTTGAGTAGGCAATGTTTATTAACCACTTAATTTATTTAAAGCATTTCACAAGGAAATGGGAATCCAATGGTGAAGACAGAGCTAGCCCTGCCCTCACAAATCACAACTGTCACAATCTGATTTCACACTACGTAAGTGGCACAGTATTAGCTAGGAGAAATCTTTGTGTGTAAAAAAGGCAGAGGGAGCTTTAGGAAGGCAGGAAATGGGATTTGGGACCTGAAGAACTGAGGAAAGTTGATTAGGCAAAGTCCAAGAGAACTAGATAACAGCTTCAGAGTCAAACACTTAAACCCCTCCCAAACCATCCAGTGGTCCAACATGTAACAACTCAAAATGTATGGCCACTGAATTAGATTTAAAACATTCTGCTCTAAAGACTGTTTAAAAATTGCTTTTTGAAGTATAATCAACATACACTAAATGGTACATTCAGTGTAGCAATGATAAATTTTGACAAAGGCACACAGCCATGAAACCATCAGTATAATGGTGATAATTAGCATGTCCATCATCCCCAAAGATGTCCTTGTGCCCCTTGGTATCGCCTCCCTCCAGATTCTCTTGGCCATACCACCAGGCACCACTGATCTGCACTCTGTCAATATAGATTAGATTGTTTTGTTTTTTTGTTTACTAAAGGTTTCTATGGAAAGAATCAGCTAGTGTGTAGTACTATTTTTAAACTGCTTCTCTAACTTAGCATAATTATAGATAAATGTTTGTGTTGTGTGTATCAAGAGTACCTTCTTTTTCTTTGTTATGTAATATTCTATTGCGTAGATGTGTCACAATTTGTTTATTCATTCTGCTGATAAACATATTGATCAGCTCAAGTTTCTAGTTATTACAAATAAAGTATTTATGAGCATTCATGTATAAGCTTTTGTGTGAACATATGCTTTATTTTTCTTGGGTAATTACCTAGAAGTTAAATAGCTGGATTATAGGATAGGTTTATTTTTAACTTTTTACAAAACTCCCAAACTCTTTTCCAAAGTGCTTGTGCCATTTTTCCTTTCTACAGCAGCGTGAGAGTTCCAGTGCTTACATATCCCGCTAGTGCTTGGAATGGTCAATCTTTTTAACTTCAGTCATACTAATAGAAATTTTGTTATTGTTTTAAGTTGCATTTCCACAAAGACTAATAGTGCTGAGCATCTTTGTATGGGCTGATTAACAATCTATGTAATCTCACTGGTTAAGCGTCTGTTCAAATATTTTGTACACTCTTATTGATTTGATCATGTTTTCCATTACTGAGTTTTGAGAGTTCTTTATATATTCCAGATATAATTCATTTATCAGATGTAAGTGCATTGTAAATGCTTTCTACCCCTCTCTTGCTTGTTTTTTCATTTTATTAATATTTTTGAAGAGCAGAAGTTACAAATTTTGACATACTCGAATTTATCTCTCTTTTTTTTTTCCTTTTCTAATTCAGTGTCACAAATTTGCTTTCATGTTTTCTTCTGGAATTAAAAAAAAGATACAAAGATAGACAAATTTGTCAATGGAATAGAATAAAAATTCCAAACATAAATCCACACATATATTGCCAATCGATTCTGATAAAGGTGCAAAGGCAAATCAGTAGAGAAAGGATGACATTTTCAACAAATAGTTCAAGAACAATTGCATATTCATATGCACAATATTTGGTACATATCTCACAAAATACACCAATATACATAAATTAAGTAAAAATGGGTCGGAGACTTAAAGAACATTCATTTTCACCTAGTTCCGATATTAGGAAATTATGTCACATTGGCAATAGTAGTGTATATATAGAGATGCATATACAAAATGAGTGGAAGAGTATGTGTGCATATGCTGGCTTTGGTTGGTTTCAGTATTACGCTGATGCTACCACATTGGAAAAAATGCAAGTTTCACCCAACTAGATTTATGTTTTGGAGTAGTTTGTTTCAGATAAAAATGATCTGTTCTTTGAAGATTTCATGCATCCAACCAATCCTGTTCTCTTTGGGTCTTTTAATTTTTTCTACATTTGTTGGCCTTTTCCTTAATATCATCGTTTTTTAATTCACAAATTTTTCCTATAATTAATTTTATTTTATTCCCCAAAGTTGGTAGTCCGGCAGTGTCTGATACATTGTAGGCACTTTATTGATTGATTGATTAATTTTTTAGATAGTTCTCCTCTGTCACCCAGACTGGAGTGCAGGGGCACAATCTCGGCTTATTGCAAAGTCCACCTCCCAGGCTCAAGCAATCCTCTGACTTCAGGCTCCCTATTAACTGGGACTACAGGTATGTATCACTACACTCAGCTATTTTTTGTATTCTTTTTGGAGACAGGGTTTTGCCATGTTGCCAGGCACTGCCATGTTGCCAGGCACTTTAAATGTGTGTGTGTGTATGTGTCTGTGTGTCTCTGTGTGTGTGTGTGTTAGTTATTACAGGCTATTAAAAAACAGTAATTTGGTTAAGTACCATGAGTTTTTAGAAAACAAATCATTGATAGTCATGAAGAGGAAATTAATAAGAAAATAGAAGTAGAAACCTATTTGAACATGTTCTGTATTAGTCTGTTCTCACACTGCTAATAAAGACATACCTGAGACTGGGTAATTTATAAAGAAAAATAGGTTTAATGGACTCAGTTCCACATGGCTGGCGATGCCTCACAATCATGGTGGAAAGCAAAGGAGGAGCAAAGATATGTCTTATGTGGTGGCAGGCAAAAGCAAATGAAAGCCAAGTGAAAGGGGAAAGCCCTTATAAAACCATCGGATCTTGTGAGATGCATTAACTATCATGAGAACGGTATGGGGGAAACCGTCCCCATGATTCAATTATCTCCCACCAGGTCCCTCCCACAGCATGTGAGAATTATGGGAGCTACAATGCAAAATGAGATTTGGATGGGGACACAACCAAATCATATCAGTTTCTTTGCTGAGATAATGATTTACTCTACAAACCAGATTCTTCTCTGGTAATCTACATTTCAGTAAATGGCAATAGCATCTACGTAGCAGTTTAACAACAACAAAAAAAGTCAGATGCAGTGGTTCCTGCCCTAATCCCAGCGACTTGGGAAGCTGAGGCCAGAGGATCCCTTCAGTCCAGAAGTAGGAGCTGCAGTGAGCTGTGATTATGCCACTGCATTCCAGCCTGAGCAAGAGAGCAAGACCCCATCTCTTTTAAAAAACAAAACAAAACAAACATAACAGCAACAAAACCTCATAAAATCAAGGTTTACTGATAGATTAGAATTTAGGATTAAAGAAAAGTAAAAAATCTGAGCTTGAAAAATTTAGAATACTTATTTACTGTGTCATTTAAAATATATATATATTATAGAAAACTGATGAGATGTAAGTATTTTTAATTATTTTTCTTTGCTACTGCAGTGTTTTGATCTGAGAAGAACTATTCTGTCTTATAGAAATAAGAGATCAATTTGGAGTGGTGGGAACTGAGTCAACCTGAGATAATCGTCATCCAATTTTTCCCAAAATTAATCACCAAAGTATAAGCTCACTTCAAAAAGTAGTATGAAACAACAAAATTAAGAAATAATTTATAAATTTAATTAGATTTAGTTAAAAAATAGTTGTCTCAAAGCTTGTTGTGTGGGATGGGACAGTAAGAAATCCTGGATCTCCTGTGTTTCGGATGAGAATTCACTTTTACTTTCCCTTTCACCTGAAACTTATACATGAAAGAACTTTGAGGCTCAGAAAGATGACGGCTTAAAATCTAAAGGATGTATTTTACCTCTGAACTTTTACAATTTTATAAAATACTTAGTATGTCTCTCATCTGTCCATCTATTAATTTCATGCATATTTCTCTTGATTATTAGCAGACTTGACTCTGAGGTGGGCTAAGAAAGGTGTGGAAGTTCAAGAACATGAGGACAAGCTGAAAGACTACACCAGTTTAAGCATCTTGGATAGCACACTACTTTTCAAATGGAATGCCCTAATAAGCTTGCTTCTCAGATGGGCAATGAGCTGTTAGAAATTATGAAAAAGCAAAACAAACAAAACAAAACAAATTTCTATCTCTGTCTACTTATGTTCCCTGGCCTCTCAAATTGTTTATTGTCACTGATGGGCTCTTGCTCATACCATTCACTTGCTTGGAAATGCCCACTTTAGTATTTTATGAACACTGAATCCAATATACCTTTTAAAGCTTGATTAGTACAGTTCATAGAAATCTCTTTTGATATCCTCGACTGAGGATAGCCACTCCATTACATGTTATTTTCTTATACTATCTAGCTTAGAGAAGATAAACATGTTGACTAAATGTTAGCTACCTCTTTTTAATTGGGTGTCGACTATAACCACATTTACACTCATTAATTTAAATCTGGATTGTATTTACACTTCCTACATAATCACACAAGATAAGCACCATGCTTTCACTTTTCTCCCTCCATCTGTAAGTGTCTTCACTGAGTAGCTAATCTGTAATATCCTTAAGTTTTAAGAAGACTTCTTATCCTTGGAGGCTTTGCACATAATAGATTATCAAAAGTTATTTTTACTATATGTAAATTACCTTTAATATTGAATTAATTTACCCCTGGATATATATTTATCCTGTTGAAGATACTCCCAAAGATTCTAATATCACGTGTCATTTGTTCCACAAGATAGAAGGATACACTCATCCTTAATGTGTTGGAAGGTGAGGCAGGCCTTTATCTTCATGACAACCATCCTCCACCAACAAAAAATAGAGAATTTCTACTAACATAGTGCAGGAACAATGCATTGCAGTGAATGAGTTAGCTGTTGTTTAAATCTCCAACTGAGATGCTAAATTTTGGATATGTGGAAGGTAATTGAAAATGTTGAGAAAAGTTAACCAATAGAGAACTATTAATACCTTAATGGTATATGAAAAAATAAACTCAGAATATAAAATTTACCATATATTTACATATATATATGTATGTATATACACACACTCACAAATACACAAATAAATATATTGGGATCTAAATTCAGAATATAGAGTTATACTGTAAAAATAGAAATATAAAAACATAACATAAAATTATGCATACATATGTTACAACCTAAACTTAATAAAACTGAACGTATTTTCTATTTAGTGTGTGTGTGTGTGCCTGTGTGTTTCAGGCAGTGGTAACTTCTATTTGGTGGAATTAAGGGCCATCTGTTTGATTGCTGACAGTTTTCTCAATATTCTATATTATCTCTAATGAGCACATAGTCTTAGTTTTTGGAAAAAATAAACATTATGGTAACAAATTTATTAGACAAGAAGGTTAATGTTATTTGTGTGTATGAATCTTCTTACTCTATATTGATATATATGTTTATTGACTGAACAGTAACTTGCATTACAGAATTTCGCTATTTTACCAAAGATGGATAAGAAGAACAGGAAATCTCTGCTGCACCTGTCTGGTTAAATAGGCTCAGTTTATCAGAGAAAATGATAATTTATGTAAGCTTTTTAAAAATCATATAATATTTATAAATACTTATGGAGTTCATGTGATATTTTGTTACATGTAAGGAATGTGTGGTGATGAGTGTATTTGAGGTATCCATCACCTTGAGTATTTATTATTTCTATGTGCTGGGGACATTGCAAGTCCTCTCTTCTACCTACTTTGAAATATATAATACGTTATTTACTATAGTCAACCTACTCTGCTATTGAACATTAGAACTTATATCTAACTATATGTTTGTACCCATTCATCAACCTCTCTTCATTCCCATCTCCACCCACACACACTTACCAACCTCTGGTATCTCTCATTCTATTCTCTACCTCCATGAGTTCAATTGTCTTAGCTCCCACATATGAGTGAGAACATACAATATTTGTCTTTCTGTGCCTGGCTTATTTCACTTAGCACACTGACCTCAAGTTCTGTCAATGTTGCCACAAATGATATGATCTCATTCTTTTTATGACCAAAGAGTATTCCATCGTGTATGTATACCACAATTTCTTTATGTGTTTATCCATTGATGGACACTTAGGTTGATTTCATATCTTTGCTATGGTAAATAATGTTGTAATAAACATGGGAGTGCATGTATCCCTTTGATATACTGATTTATTTTCCTTCAGATAAACACTCAATATGAGGGATTGCTGGGTGGTATGGTAGTTATAATTTTAGTTCTTTGAGAAATCTCATGTGAGTGTTAAGTTCATGTTCTTTGCTCTTTTGCATTTGCAGCATTGGCCTAAACACTAAATGAGCATCATTTAATAAATGGTTCTAGAAAAACTGGACATCCTCATTCCAAAACAACTGCAACAGCAACAAAAAACTTAGATACATGTTATACAACATTTTCATATTTATCTTAAGTTATTTAAGAACTTTATATTAGCAACTTTATATTATATAAACCAGATGCTTTGATCTCAGAACATTATTTCCTGGAATATGCATATGGGATTATGTTTCCCAAATGTTGTCATGAAAAAGTTAGCTGCATAATTTTTATTGAATATTTATCAAGATTTCAGAGTATGACACCAGCGTATTTAGATTAAATAGTCTTAAGTAGAATCATTTATTCTTAATTTTTAACAACATTCCAGGAATTCTGAGGCAAATCATTTGGTGAAATTTATAGGTAGTGAACATCTCTCCCTTCTCAATATTTACCTGACAATAGAGGCCTGTATGGATTGATAATCAAATAAAAATCCGATTCAAATTTAGTCTCACAACACAATAGAATTTACTTATTAAATTAATGGTTTAGCAATCCCTGTTTTCCAGAATGTCAGGCTTTATCTTTATTTTAATAGCCTATCTTCAAGTTGGAAAAGCACTGTGAGGTTTTTAAAAATAGCTGCATCATAACACATCACCCAAGGAGAAATCATTCAAGAGAGGTGAAGAAAATATTTTGAAACTAGATACCGTTTGCAGATACTTAAATTTGTAATGCATAAACCAAGATAAAAGGGTCAAGTTTGCTCTTCGAACTTTTACCAATTAAGGAATCCAATGTACTCTAACTAGTCTTTGAATCAGCCATACAGTGAGGCACTTTTAAAAATTTTTTCGAGCACCTAGTGTGTGCAAATCACAGTGGGAGCTTGAAGGACACCTTAGACACAGCTCCTTTTATGGTAAGAAATGAAAACCCTTTGGCTTAGATAAGCTGGGTTTGAAAGCGTTATTGTACTGATTAGCCATAGGGACCATCTCCCACATTCTTTTTCTATAATATCATATGAAATGTAGATACCCATTTTTTCCTTAAAAGTTGTTGGATCTGCACAAATATGCTCAAGTGATTTTGAGTAAGGTGCAAAAGATTTTAACGGAGGAAGGAGAGCCTTTTAAAAAGTGGTCCACATGCAATTGTATATCCAGAGGCAAGAAAATGAACTTTGACCTTACCTCACACCTTATACTAAAATAAATTCAAAATGGATCATAGACTAAAATGAAAAATTACAGGCAAGATTATAATTCCATTAGAAAATAAAAACATTGGGAAAAATTCTTAAGATCTAGGGCTGAGCAAAGGTTCCTAGGCTTGGCATTAAAAATGCCATCCATAAAAAGAAAAATGATAAACTGGACATTAATAAGCATAGAAAAGTGCTTCATGAAAAACTCTGTTAAGAAGATGAGAAAACAAGCTACAGATTGGGAGAGGATATTTACAAACTACATGCCCGGGAGAGGATTACTTCTAAAATATATATAAATAACTTTTAAAACTCAAAAGTAAAACACACACACACACACAATCCAAGTAAAAAATGGGAAAATCTTGTGAACAAACATTTCTCACACACAGAAGTGATGTTCAACATCATTAGCCACCAGAGAAATGCAGATTAAAAGCACAGTGAGATACCAGTACACACTTAGCAGATTGGTTAAAAAATCATGATGAAACCAAATGCAGGTGAGCATTTTCTAGAAAATAGATCATTTATATATTGATGGTAGGAATCTGCAGCTACTCTGGAAAATATTTTGGCAGTTTATTATATAGTTGACCCTTGAACAAGGTGGAGTTGGTAGTGCTGACCTCCCACACAGACAAAAAACCACATCCAACTTTTGAGTTTCTAAAATCTTAACTAATAACCTACTGTTGACTAGAAACCTTAACAAAAACAGAAACAGTCAACTACACATAAATAGGCTAGAATCTGCATATATTTTTTGCATTCATTGCATGTTTAACTTTTTCCCTTTTTTTTTTTTTTTTTTTTTTTGAGATCGAGTCGCTCGCTCTGTCGCCCAGGCTGGATGGAGTGCAGTGGCGCGATCTTGGCTCACTGCAAGCTCTGCCTCCTGGGTTCACGCCATTCTCCTGCCTCAGCCTCCCGAGTAGCTGGGACTACAGGAGCCCACCACCACGCCCGGCTAATTCTTTTGTATTTTTAGTAGAGACAGGGTTTCACCGTGTTAACCAGGATGGTCTCCATCTCCTGACCTCGTGATCCGTCCGCCTCAGCTTCCCAAAGTGCTGGCATTACAGGCGTGAGTCACCGCGCCCGGCCCACTTTTTCCTATTTTTAAAATATTTCTAGGTTAAGCGGTTTGTCTGAAATCTTTTCAAACCGTCACACATCTCCAAAAACTTTCACAATATATTTTTGAGGAAAATTCACATATAAATGGATCCATGCAGCTCAAATCTCTGTTTTTCAAGGGTCAACTGTATATCTAAACATGCAAATATCATGCAAAACCAGCAAGTGCAGTTTTAGTTATTTATCCCAGAAAAATTAAAGTTTATATTTACACAAAAACCTATGAACAAATATTAATAGCAGCATTATCAGAAATAACTAAAAACTGGAAACAACATAAATGCCCTTATGTGAGCAAATTATTAATCAAACTATGGTAACTTCATCCCATAGAATACTACTAAAATATGAGCAAACATTTTGTAAGTCCAACAACTTGAATGAATCTCAAAAGAATTACGCTGAGTGAAACAGCAACTCCAAAACTTCTACATATTGAGTGATGCCATTTATAAACATTGTTGAAATGGGTAATTACAGAAATGGAGATCAGATTAGTCATTGCCATAATTTAACAACAGTAAGTGTGGGAGAGAGGTAAGTATGGCTATAAAAGGACAAGAAAAGGGATCCTTTCTGTGATGAACGTGTTCTCTTGGATGTATGAATCAATGTTAATTTCCTGGTTGTGATACTGTGCTTTGTTTTTGCAAGATGTTACCATCGGGGGAAACTTGGTGAAATGTACTTAGGAGCTTTCTGAATTATTTCTCACACTTCTGCATGCTAATGTACTATTATCTCAAATTCTTTTAAATGAGTTTAATTTTAGAAGAAAAAACTTGTTTGGCAGGATTATAAAGAACAATTAAAATTGAAATGGTTTTGAAACCAGAATGCCATACCCAGCCATTTATGTTTTCAGGCAGGCATGGCCATAGAAAGTTTACATTCTAAGGACAATTTTTGAAAATATTATTTCAATAATTACTCATGGAAAAGATGATGAATAAATCTTCAAAAGAGTGAAAAATACCGGAAGTGCTATAAAAAGAGATGCTAGGCTTAAAACAGTCTTTGAAATAAATTAGGCTATATTTAAAAATATATATGAAATAGTTACAATGAAACAGAATTATTTCATGAAATATATACACATACACATATATGAGAAACTGGGTAAGCTTTGAAAACAGCGAAAAGTGCCGTGGATGCCGAAGGGAGAAAAGTTTACAATGGCAGCCATGGTAGCGTGCTGCTCAATCTTCCTTGGAGAAATTTTCATTCAGAGTAAAGGTGTGCAGTTAGTTGCTAATGTCCTCAGGATCCATCTCAGCTTTCCTGCCAAGGCCATGCCCCTCTAGCATGGCCCTCGCCAATGACTGAGCCCAACAAAAATACTGCGACTTGGCTGGCTTTCTTTCTTTTCTTTCTTTTTCTTTCTTTCTTTCTCTTTCTTTCTTTCTTTCTTTCTTTCTTTCTTTCTTTCTTTCTTTCTTTCTTTCTTTTTCTTTCTTTCTTTCTCTTTCTTTCTTTCTTTTCCTTTTTTCTTTCCTTCTCTTTCTTTCCTTTCTCTTTCTTTCTTTCTTTCTGTCTTTCTTTCCTTCTTTTTTTCTCTCTTTCTTTCTTTTTCTTTCCCCTCTCCCTTCCCTTCCCTTTCCCTCCCCTCCCCTCCCCTCATCCTCCCCTCCCCTCCCGTCCCCTTCCTTTCCCTTCCCTCCCCTCCCTTCCTCTCCCCTCCCCTCCCCTTCCCTTCCTCTCCCCTCCCCTCCCCTTCCCTTCCTTCTTTTTACTGGACTTTAATTATTACTCAAATCAATCTCCTGGAGCATTTGAGGATCAGAGTTTTAAAGATAATTTGTTGGATAGGGGCTCGGGAAGTGAGGAGTGCTGATTGGTCAGGTTGGAAATGTAATCATAGGGGGATAAAAGTGAGGTATTTATTTTTTATTTTTTTAATTTAATTTAATTTAATTTAATTTTAAGTTCCAGCATACATGTGCAGGACATGCAGATTTGTTACATAGGTAAACGTGTGCCATGGTGGTTTGCTGCACCTATCAACCCATCACCTAGGTATTAAGCACCACATGCATTAGCTATTTGTCCTGATGCTCTCCCTCCCCCGACCTCCCCACGACAGGCCCCAGTGTGTGTTGTTCTCCTCCCTGTGTCCATGTATTCTCATTGTTCAGCTCCCACTTATAACTGAGAACATGCGGTGTTTGGTTTTCTGTTGCTGTGTTAGTTTGGCCATTTCTCTCCAACCTGGGACTCATGAGGAATCTTTGCTTTGCCTCTCCCGCTTAGCTACCCAGGAAATTCTCCCAAATCTGCACTGCAGTCCGAGATTTTCCAATCCAGCTTTCACTCCTCTTTCTTTTCATAGGAAAGAATCTGCATTTTGAATTGGAGCTTTCTCTGCTCAACCACTCTTCCTCCCTCTTTTGTTTTTTTATTTTTATTTATTTATTTATTGAGACATAGTCTCACTCTGTTGCCCAGGCTGGAGTGCAGTGGCACGATCTGGGCTCACTACAACCTCCACCTCCCGGGTTCACACCCTTATCCTGCCTCAGCCTCTGGAGTAGCTGGGACTACAGGCACCCACCGCCACTCCCGGCTGAATTTTTTTTTTTTTTGTATTTTTAGTAGAGACGAGGTTTCACCGTGTTAGATCGATGGTCTCGATCTCCTGGCCTCCTGATCCACCCGCCTTGGCCTCCCAAAGTGCTGGGATTACAGGCGTGAGCCACTGCGCCCGGCCGCTTTCTCCCTCTTTTGAAAACATTAAGTCCCAATAAGCCTTTTGCATTCCTCCCTCCATTTCAGCATCTGCTTCCCAGAAGACCTAATTAACACATGCCTTCTAACTTTTCCTCCTATCTTTCTAGCAAATGCCTTCTGATTTTGCCTTCTAACTTTGTATCTCTGTGGTCAGTTATTTGCTCAGGTACTTGAGAATCCACACATCTTAACTCTCCAGTTGTATACATGCATGTATGCAGGTACTTACGTACATATATGCATGTATGTATTTTGGAGAAGTACACATATACATATCTCTTTTTATTTCCTTTCTTATTTTAGATATTTTTTCCCATTTACACCTAACACAATATCACTATCCTCCACACAGGCAATCATTCTGATACATTTAGTACATATCTTTGTCATGAGCTGTATTTAAAAAGATGGTGAATGCATTTCAGTAAGACATTGCAATGAAACATGTCCTAGAGAGAAAATGATACTCTCACTAATAAACAATTTCTCCTTCAAAGGTAGTTGGGAATAAAAAAGTCAGTTTCCAGCTTGTTAAAAGTTAGTTTTGTTTCTAGCCCAGGTTGCTTTTTCCATTGTTCAAAGTGTGTGGTTTTACACCTCCTTCTTCATCCTTGCCATCTCATTTTAGAAATCTCCCTAAGAAAATATTGAATGTTTTGTGCTCTCGTCAGTAGTACATTCAGTACTTTGACCTCTTGCAAACTTTCTTTATTTTCTGTTTCATTTCAAGAGTTATATTAATTGAATCAGATCTTGAATTTCACTTTGAATGAAGAAGACTTTGCTGAGAGTTCTGCATCATCTTTGATAAGAAGAGAGACTGCTGATTTTCAGCTTTTATTATAACCTATTTTGTTCTGTCAAAATGTCCTTTAATACAGGCTGTTTTTAATCTCTTTAAATTAATGAATCTTATTAAATGGCTCTTAAGGAAATCATTTTGATAATGGCTGACAGATTTTTTTTTGCCCCAGTTGGATAGTTATACTTCCTTTTTCAATAAAAAATAAAAAATAGGGGGAAAAGCCTATTCTAAGCTGCATTATTTTGTGTCTCCCTGAAGAATATTTCTCAGTGTTGGTTTTCTGGTCTGTAACCAAGGAGTGATTTAGTTGTAGAGGGAAAAATGACTTAGATACACATCAAAAAACAAGACCTCAGAGACAGAGAAGTTTAAGAAATTCTGATATTTTTGGTTTGTAACACTCTTTTGTCAACTTTGTTTCTAGCCTTGTACCTTGTATTATGGTCTTTTGTACAGTGATGAGCTGTTTTTTGTGAAACTATAGTTTCATGCCAAGATGATCCTCAAAATATACTCACAGGATGACTTAAATTCTGACCCATGGCTTCATTTAGTACTGAAGATATTAGATTTTTCGTATCACTTACATTTTAGATTCATATTTTAATCCATTTGGAGTCTTTTATTAAAAGTCTAAGAACATGCTGTATTATGCCGTCAATTACTACTCAGGACTGGGACAAGGAAGCAGAGGAATAGATCAGGGATTTGAGTTATTGAACCTCCTCTACTTAAACAATGATAGTTTTGAGTAAATTGTTTATGCTTGTGAATGGCATAGCCTTCAACTACTCTTAACTTTCTCTTTCAATTACCTCAATTCCTCCAAAAATGTATGTATATTTCACAGAGTATAGCAAGAGCAGATGAAAACGCTAAGCTTTAAAAAACTTATGAAATGCCTAGACATATATATGTGGGGATTGCAGCCCTATTCAGGACAGGAAATATCCCAAGGGGGAAGGAATGGAAGGACTGGAGAGGAATGGAAGGAATGGCTTATAAAGGAAGCCAGCAAAAGAAAGATATCTAGCAATAGCAAAAGGAGGATACACGAAGATCTTTACATTCCACATCAGGAATGTTAGACCTTTACGTTCCACGTTAGGTTAGGTTCTGCATCTTTCTTTTTTTTTTTTTTTTTGAGACAGAGTCTCACTCTGTTGCCCAGGCTGGAGTGCAGTGGCATGATTTCGGCTCACTGCAAGCTCCACCTCTTGGGTTCATGCCATTCTCCTGCCTCAGCCTCCCGAGTAGTTTGGTTTACAGGCAGGTGCCAGCATGCCTGGCTAATTTTTTGTATTTTTAGTAGAGATGGGGTTTCACCATGTTAGACAGGATGGTCTCGATCTCCTGACCTGGTGATCCACCCACCTCAGCCTCCCAAAGTTCTGGGATTACAGGTGTGAGTCACCGTGCCTGGCTGCATCTTTCTTTCACTGTGGCCTTTCTTAAGACATTGAAAGGCACTGAATAAATCTTAATTGTTTGAATGGAATAGAGAATCAGAGAAAGAGTGAGAAAGGGGATAAAATGTTCTGGAGATCAAAGCAGGATGGTATTCTTACTGGGGTGTGGGTGTGTGTGTGTGTGTAGAGAGAGAGAGAGAGATAAATAAAAAAGGATAAATAGAGACATATGTGCCAGTTACTCCCCACATCACACCATAGAATGTAGAGTGATTCCCTTCTTCACATTATTTGTAAAGTCATCACAGAAGAGACAAAAACTTTTATTCCTTATCATCTTCACAGTAGTGTCCATGCCTAGAATCCTGGGTCTACTGCTCAATAATTATTGTATAACCCTAGACACAAATGAGGAGAAGAAAGTTCACTAAAACAAAAAGCAAGAGTGAAGCAGAAGGTATAAAGAAAAACAGGTTTTCTAGGCTAACTCACTCCAAGACCCAGAGATAGGCAGGGCTCTGTTAGGGCTTTGATAGCACTATCTGCAGAGCCAGGGCCATCAAGGGATGGGCTCCAGAGCCTCTCCCTTCAATTCTGAAGCAGGGATGAGGAAAACAAGTTTAACAAGTTCCCCCTTCTTTTATGATTGTTCTTTGTTTTGTCCTCATAACTATTATTGCAAGTTTGTAAGAATTTTGCAACTTCCTGTTTTCCCATCTGTGCAGTATGGTGAAGGTCACAAGATGTGCCTAAGTTGCAACACCTGTCACTGCTTGATAAACTGCCTTTGGTCCGCTTCTGTAAGCTTGCTTGCTCACCCTGCAGGTTTCGCACCACTAAACTGGCCAACCCCCTTCGGTTGCATGTATAAAAGTCAAGCCCTGTCTTTGTTCAGGGCTCAGCCTTTGGTTGTTAATCTGCTGGGCCGGTGCACCTAAATAAAATCCTCCTGCCCACCCATCGGTCTCTCCTGTCCCTTAATTCCAGCAACAAGAGCAGCTTCTGCTTGTTTGTAACTTCACCACGTTTGAATCTCTTGCTCAGTAGGGAAGATTGGTCAAGCTGTTTGGATCCACATTTCACAGGACTGGAAGGAAGAAAGTGGTCATATTTACTGATTGTGCAAGGAATCTCATCAGCTTGTCTGAGGGATATTCTAACCCAGGGAGAGAAGTTGAGTGAGTTATTGAGTTTTGGAGACTAATGATTTTTTTGAAAGTGAAATGTCAGAATCAAATGAGGATCAGTGAATCTCTGAAGACGAGAACAGGTAAGCATGAATAAATTTAGGACAAAAGATCAGATTAGTGTTCTTTTAAGACATAGTCTCCAGTACCTGAAGTTGTATTTTAATGTGTTTCAGATAAGAGAATGTGGGAAAGTCAAATTGAGTCAGGAGAAAGAACTCTCCAGCTGACTGCAGGACTTTGAGCACTGAGTCAGGAGAAAGAACTCTCCAGCTGACTGCTGGATCTTGAGCACTGAGTCAGGAGAAAGAACTCTCCAGCTGACTGCAGGACCTTGAGCACTGAGTCAGGAGAAAGAACTCTCCAGCTGACTGCAGGACCTTGAGCACTGAGTCACAAGAAAGAACTCTCCAGCTGACTGCTGGATCTTGAGCACTGAGTCAGGAGAAAGAACTCTCCAGCTGACTGCAGGACCCTGAGCACTGAGTCAGGAGAAAGAACTCTCCAGCTGACTGCAGGACCCTGAGCACTGAGTCAGGAGAAAGAACTCTCCAGCTGACTGCAGGACCCTGAGCACTGAGTCAGGAGAAAGAACTCTCCAGCTGACTGCAGGACCTTGAGCACTGAGTCTGGAGAAAGAACTCCCCAGCTGACTGCTGGATCTTGAGCATTGAGTCTGGAGAAAGAACTCCCCAGCTGACTGCAGGGCCTTGAGCATTGAATCAGGAGCAAGAACTCTCCAGCTGACTGCTTGAGCAACAGGGTCTATATATTTTTCAGTATCAATTCTAATCCATTAATTCTGTATCTCATAGGAAAAAAATATTTGGTTGGTGCAAAAGTAATCACGGTTTTTGCCATTTAAAGTAATGGCAAAAGTACTTTAAATGGCAAACACCGTGATTAGTTTTGCACCAACCTAATAAATAAAATAATTAACTGAAGCTTCAGGGTTTTTTTAATTCATAGGACTTTCAAATCACATTTGTTTTCCCAAAAGGTATTCAAGAATAAAATTGCTGTATCCTAAGTGCAGCAATTCTATTTGTGGAAAAGGAAAAACAGAAGGTAAATCTTTTATCTGCCCTTGGAGTTTTCACAGCATACATTCTAATGCATTTTTTTTTCTTTTTCTCCAAGTGATAGATTATCACAAGGCTGTTAAAAATCCCAGGACTTTTAAATAATATATTCATGAAACTTATAACAAACTTGAGAGTTACAGAGAAAACTGAACATGAAAAAGGCACACATAGTTTGGAATATGGACAGTGGGCACTCTGCCTTTAGTTGTGGATATTTTGGGTGTGTGTGTGTGTGTGTGTGTGTGTGGTGTGATCTCAGTAAGTTAGGGAAGAGGTGGGCTGAGTCATTTGCTTTTCTTCCTCCATATTTTATTCTGTTAAATACTCACACCACTCTTGTAAAATGGATACAAATGCTTTCATTTATAAAATATAGAGAGGTGAAATAACTTGCTGAGATCACTCAGCATTTAATGACAGAAATAGGACTCACACTCAGATCTGGCTGTTGCCATGTCATATTATTTGAATGATAATCCTTTTTTGGTAGAAAGTGATACTTGCTCATTGTAGAAAACTTAAGAAATGAGATAAAAAGTAAAAGCAAAATGACTTTTAATCTACCATTTAGGGATGGCATTCTGTGTATGTATCTTCCAGATTATTTTCATTACACCACCCTTTCTTACTTAACTACTGAGATTCTCTTTTCCCTCACCTGTAAAATTGAAGCAAAAGTATTAGCATTTCTACGGTTCCATATAGCTTTAAAATTCTATGATTTTTATACCTCAAGTGCTTTTCCTTTCAATTTTTAGTTCCCTTAATGGAAAAAAAGTACTCACACAGAAAGATAGGCAAATTTGCATGAACAGTTTGATGCCTTCTTCTCAGGGACAACACTAAGGCTGGGAAAGCATCTCCAAGTAGGTTACAAGACACTCATCCATTCCTTATTTCCTGGACAGACTCCATGTTAGTGTCTTGGCTAACATGTGACTACATCCCAGCCAATAGCTAACTTTAGGATGATTAGAACAGGGAATAAGGGAAAGAAAGCTGGCTTAGGAAGGTCATAACATTTGTGAAAATGAATGTGAATATAAAATTGCTGACCAGCTCAGGAACCTTATGGAGTTATTGTTCCAGGTGCCAGCAGCAGATAGATTGATCTAAAGCAGGAGCAGTGGTTAATCAGTCACCTGCGATTTAGAAACTTAGTCCTTCTGGACGGCAGTATTTTTTCTTCTCCTGCATCTTGACTAATGTACTGACAGAAAGATTAGAAAGTTACATAATTGCATTAGGATAACAAGGCAGTTCAGGGAGAAGCTGATACCCTGGTGGTATTTCTAGAATAATTTGGAGGAGGTGCCATTACCATCTTGTTGAGCTGTCTGCAATTGTTAGAAGGGACAAAAAGAAGTGAGTCTATCATCTATTTTTTTCAGATTACTAGTTACTTGAAAGATGAGTCAAAAGCAGAGACATAAAGATCAAGTGGCTTGGAAAGAAAGGACATCACTAACACTTTTTACAACGATGTATGGGTTGTTGTGGTTTTCTTTTTCATTTTTGTTTTTTTTTCTTTTTGTTAAGTCAAGCATAGGATTTGCATTATTTCACACTTAGCCTTTATTTCTTCAGCTCCAAATTTCCCCTTATTCCTTGACTATCTCATTTTTCTTTTTCATCTTTCTGTCACACACACAGACACACACAAACACATACCCATACACACACACACAGGACACAAAATGTGGTCATAGAAACATAGAAACATAGAGACAGACACACACAGACATGCATAAATAGACACAGACACCAATACAGGTGAACACACAGATACACGCCATATTGCAGGAAGATTTCTTTTTCCTTGAACAAACTGCACTTATCATATATGTCTACACAATATGCTCAGAATGCATCTTTCTAGTAGCAGTTTATAATTTTCCTTTTCTCTCAGCCTCAGTTTCACCAACTGTGAGATTAGGATGAACATGCCAACCTACCTAGGATGGTAATATAATTTTGAAATAGCTAAAATCTTTTCAATTAAAAGTGACAGAAATTCACATTGTACTCTCATAAGTAGAAATAGGACCCCTTTTGTAGAGAAACACATTTGTTTCACAGTATGGATGAACAGGGACAGTTCTGTGTAATGAGAGCTTAGATAGTCTCAGGATTCTCCTTCTTTCTCATTCTTTATCTCTCCACATGTAATTCACATATCTGATTCTCTGCAGTGCTGAAGATTATTTTTAGAAAATAACATGCATGTCATATTATCCAATAACAGTTCACTATTCATGAGGTATTCATAGAACCAAATATAAGCATTGACAACCACTTTCTTTGCTGTCCCTCTTTGTCCTTGCCTGCTCCAATTTCAAAAGTCCTCTTCACTGGGAAACCATTAGTGACCACTGCCATTAGTGATCTCTTCCTTCTCTGACACATTGAAATATAGATATAATAAAAGGTAGAAATAAATAAGAAGGTGGAGAACTTGATTTTTTTAGAAATTAGATACAAATTCTTACAGAAAAAGTAATTAGTGAGAGGATAATGGAGTGTCCCAAGTCATTTCCACCTTGAGAAGCAAGAGAAGACAGGAAATCTGAAATTTTAAGGTCTCTGATGATCCTGGAGGAACTTGAGATTGCTGCTGAGTGGGAAAAAAATGTCTAATGGCCACAACCAGAATGGAGGTCCTATTTGGTGGCATGAAAAGATAATGTAATAAATTGGCAAGCACATTGCTAAAGAAGGGAGCATACAGTGTGATCATACAGTATTTGTCTTCCTGCATCTGCCTTATATCACATTGTGCAATGTCCCCCAGGTTCATCTATGCTGTTGCAAATGGCAGAATTCCTTTACTTATGGCTGAATAATGTCCCATTGCATATGTGTACCACAATTTCTTTATTGGTTCATCTATTGATAGACATTTGGGTTGTTTCTATATCTTGGCTATTGTGAATAATGTTGCAGTGAACATGGGCATGTAGAGAAGACAAATACTGTATGATCTCACTTATATGTGGAATCAAAAAAGTCAAACTCTTAGTAGCAGAGAATAAAATAGTGGTTGCCAGGGACTGGGGAATGCGGGAAATTGGGAGAGGTTGGTGATAGCATACAAACTTTCAGTTACAGGATGAGTAAGTTCTGGGGAGTTAACGTGCAACATAGTGGTTATACTTAATATTTTATTGTTTACTTGAAATTTGCTAAGAGAGGAGATCTTATGTTCTCATCATATTCACCTCCCCCTGCCCTCACACACAAGGGTAACTATGTGTGGTGATGAGTGTGTTTTTTAATTTGATTGTGGTAATCATTACACAATCTATACATATATCAAATCATCGCATTGTATATCTTGAATATATATATAATTTATTGATCAATTATACTACAATAAAACTAGAAGAAGGGAGCATAATGTATGAGAGAGAGAGAAAGAGAGAGAGTGAGAGAGAACTTATCCCAAAAATTATAAACCAAGCCTTCTCTGCATACTGAGCATAGATCTCCTCCCATCCAAGTATATGTACTTTCACCAGTTTTTGAGAATAACCAGACAAATCTTTGTGCTAATTCTAGTAAATTTTTGGATGTTCAGATTATATAAAACTATCTGCACCTGGCCAGGCACGGTGGCTCACGCCTGTAATCTCAGCACTTTGAGAGGCAGATCACGAGGTCAGGAGATCGAGACCATCCTGGCTAACACGGTGAAACCCCGTCTCTACTAAAAATACAAAGAATTAGCCGGGCGTGGTGGCGGGTGCCTGTAGTCCCAGCTACTTGGGAGGCTGAGGCAGGAGAGTGGCGTGAACCCAGGAGGCGGAGCTTTCAGTGAGCTGAGATCATGCCACTGTACTCCAGCCTGGGTGACAGAGCAAGACTCCGTCTCAAAAACAAACAAACAAAAAACAAAACAAAACAAAACAAAAAACTATTTGCACCAATTTTTACTTTCTAAATATCAAGACTTTTTCTTGTACATATATAGTCAACAAAGATTGAACCATAAAGAACCATAACGATTTCCAGGTCACACATGTATTTGTTTCTTCTCCCCACTCACCTCCTGGCCCAAGATCATGGCTTTCTTGAAAGCAGTGTCTTCCATTATTTGCTATTGCATATCTATTCTTCATGTCTAACACAAGGTAGGAAATAATAGGTTTTCAATGCTCATTTTAGGAAATAAAAAATGAATAGATGAGACAAGATACAACAGGTTGAAAGGAGATGAAAAACTGAAAAAGGAATAAGTGGCTATGAAAAAGAAAGGATGGGGCAAAACTCTACGTTTTCTTGCTTCTTCCTGCAGCAAAATAAAGGTGGAGTCCAGGAATGCTGCTGCTGACAGCATTGGTATTTTGCCTTTGCAGTAGGTGTAATATATTCATTTTTCAGCATTGACCAAAAGAAAACACACACACACACACAAACACAAGCCTGTTACATGTTTAATTTTCGGTTTCTTGTCAACTAGGCTAACTATCCTATTAATTCTATTTTTTACTTGAAAGTTTGGCTCCCAAATCACACAGCTGTTTCACACCAAACTCCAGTGTTTTTACTCACATGTCTTCAATATCTCTCTCACTAGGGTCATGTTCCTGCTATGAAGCTCTTCTGGCAACTGGGGAGTAGAGCAAGTTTCTAAGTGGAATCTGTTTCCAGGCCAAATTTTCAGATGAATACATGTATTTCTGGCTGAGTACCATCTTTAAAAATACCCAGATTTTTTTTTTTTTTAATCTTGACTTCCAAAGCAGAACCCAGCAATGGGAGGAGCTTTAAAGTTCCATTGCACACATAGTTGAATTTGTTGGTTGACTTAAAGAAAGAGAGCAGGTTTGGTACTCATAGATTCTAATCCTGGCTAGCCATTAGATTTCAGAATTTATAAAATGGGAGCTCAGTCACTTGACTTTCCATCACCTTTGTGTTTTCGGTGTCTAACACAGCACCTGGTACATAAAGGCTTAATGAGTAACTGCTGATTAAATAAAAGCATATATGAATAAAAATTTATCTTTCCTACTTGACAGAAGCTTAGTGATGGTAAACAGAAAATTTAAGTGTAATTATATTTGAAAACTCTTTAAAAGGTGGGAGGGGTGAAACTCTAACATAAAGGCAAGTTATTTATTATGACCTATATCTCGAGCTTGGAAAGAAGTTAATTGTGTATATATTATGTAGGCAATTTACCTACCCTGTATCACAGAAAGTTAGGGCTAAAAGGAGATTAGAAGATTTTTTTTTCAATCCCTTTCATTGCCAGATAAAAAACTGAGATCCAAAAATGAAAAATGACTGACTTCAAAACATGTCATTGGTAAGTAACAAAATGGGTTAGCTTATTAATGACGGTTTTGGTAAAACACTGATTTTCTTTTTCTTTTTCTTTTTCCCAGAGAAGGACCCTTTCTTACATGGATGGGGTTTCTTTAAACCACAGAATCAAGGTAAAATATCAGGCATCCAGACACCTCTTGGGATTGGAAAAAGCTCACAGAAGTTTGAACTGACGAAGTCACAGTCTCTCTATGGGTTTACTCAGCCTTGTGGCCTTCCACTCATAGCAGTAGGGCTGGCGACTTTGCCTTATATGATCTGTGATTAAATTTCACTCTTCCCTGGAGAAGTCCAGGGAGGAAATATTTGCTAGGGGAGTGAGCAGAAAGGAGATATGCTGTGCCCCAGATACAGTGTCAGATGCTGGAAAGAGAGAGCTGAGTAAGGCACATTCAGGTTTCATAAAGAACTCTGCAGTCTCACAGGTCAGACAGACAAGTAAACAGTAACAACAACTGCAGTACCCAGTACCATGTGACAAGCGATTTGGCAAAAGCCCACAAGTGATCCTTTGTTGGCATGGTAGAAGGGATTCACCTCTTCCTATAGGTTGGGGTTTCGGTGACAGGTGACAGGACAAGGCAATTAGGAAAGGCCTAATGTGAAAACGTATGCCCAATAAACAAGATGACAGAGTCAAGGCACAGCAAAGCTGGGAGGCATAAAAGAACCTGTCTACATAACTTCTAATAAAATCCTCTGTTGCAGCTTCTGGCCTCCAGAAGGTCTGTTCTCCTAAGTTTCTAACACAATTTATACTATCTTTTCATGGATAAAGGGGCTGTGGGATGCTGTAGCTTCTTTAAAATTTGGTATCCAAAATAGGTGAGAGTGAGGAAGAAATATGTAAGACAAATGTTATATAAGAAACTTGCCCCAATATGTCTGAAGCTTGAGTGGGCACCCTCTGAAGCCAACCTGTTTGGAAAAATAAAAAAAAATTATTCTCAGTCTCTAATCTCATGGACATCATGGTCCATGATGGGATGCCACCTTTCATAAAAATATGCAAAAACTGGACCAGGTGCTGTGGCTCACACCTCTAATCCCAGCACTTTGGGAGGCCGAGGCAGGTGGATCACAAGGTCAGGAGTTTGAGACCAGCCTGGCCAATATGGTGAAACCACGTCTCTACTAAAAATACAAAAATTAGCCTGGCGTGGTGGCATGCACCTGTAATCCCAGCTACTAGGAAGGCGGAGGCAGAAGAATCACTTGAACTCAGGATGCGGAGGTTGTAGGGAGCTTAGATTGTACCACTGCACTCCAACCTGGGAGATAAAGTGAGACTCTGTCTCAAAAAAAAAAAAAAAAAAAAAAAAAAAAAACGCAAAAACTTCTCATAAGCCAGAGACATAAAATACAATAGGATAGGGCTTCGACAGACAGAATTAAACATGTGTGTGGATTTTATTTATTTTTATAGGCTTAGTTTGATATATTTTGGTGCCTATATTTGATTCTAATCCTCTTCATTTATCTCTTAATGCAAGTGGACTCAAGTATCTACTATATTCTAAGCCTCTGCCCTAGGTATTGGTTAGGAAGGTTGATAGCCTCTGTTGTTCAGATGCTTGAATTAGAATAGAAAAAAATATGAAGATTTAGCTAAAACTACTATTCATAAATTTAATAAAACAAGGTAAAATAATTATAAAGAAATGTATGTGGTGCTTAGCCAGCAAAAGAGGGATAGATTATACAAAGGTATTCTCTAAAGCAAAGATTTGGGGGTAAGAAATAACTTGTATATTTGGAGAACTATGTAGGTGAAACGTAAGGAAGAGTTAGGTAGAAAAGAGGGCATTATGCTGGAGAAATAGTTGGAACTATTGCTTTATGTGGTAAAAATAGTAGTTTAGTTTAATAATCACTGAGAAAAAAATAGATGGTATAAATATGCCAAAAATTTTACGAGTTTATTTTGCTGTTTCCTGAATGATAGGGTATATTTTGAAAATTTTCTTCATTCTACATTTCTGATAATTTATACATGTTATTTTAAAGCTCACATTTATTCAATAATATAGAAAATAAATAGATTTTACAAATGATGGGTGAGGTACCATTGAAGGCTTCTGAAGGCTGGTGATCTGGTTTGGCTGTGTCCCCACCCAAATCTCATCTTGAATTGTAGCTCCCATAATTCTTACATGTCATGGGAGGGATCCAGTTGGGGAAAGTTGAATCATAAGGGTGGATTTTTCCCATGTGGTTCTTGTCATAGTAAATAAGTCTCATGAGATCTGATGGTTTGATAAAGGGGAGTTCCCCTGACACACTTTTTCTTGCCTACCACCGTGTAAGACATGACTTTGCTCCTCCTTTGCCTTCCACCATGGTTGTGAGGCCTCCCCACCCGGGTGGAACAGTGAGTCAATTAAACCTCTTTCCTTTATAAATTACCCAGTCTTGGGAATGTCTTTATTAGCAGCATGAGAACAGACTAATACAGCCAGGTATGTGAGGGATATTAGAGAAACAAGTACCAGCAGAAAGAAAATAGTTAGAAATAGAATAATGAGTGTGAATAATTAGAATAAAAAACCTGGGTTTCTTCAAGTAAACTAATTATTATTGATACAAAATGATAGATCATTTGCTGGGAGAAATGCATATATATGCTTGTTGAGAATACAGCTCTCATAAAAATTACCCTCAGCTGATATGCTTATTTTTGGTTCTCAATTCAGAAAATGGATGTAATTCAGCAAATCCACATAGGAGCCATATCTAAATGACAAGCATCTGATTCTAAAGCTTAAGTGCAGTTATTATGCAAAAATGACCTTTATACTTGCAAATATGGTAATTCTATAAAAATTACACTCCAATACAGATTTACTTATAAGTAAATATTTTCTAATGTAAACCCAACACCAAAAGTAAACCAAGATATCCTTTCTATATTAAGTCACTCTATTGTTCTTTTTAGAAGTAATTCTGAATATTTAAAAGAACTTTCTCATTTTTCCTTAACTTTGAACAGAAAGAGTTCCTTATTTAAGGCTGATTCAACTCCTCTAACTAAACTTTGAAGTCAATTTCTCTGCTGCCTTCTGGATTTAAGTGTTTCAGAGGAGAAGTCTGAGACCAGCTGTAGTTTCTTTGTTTATTTTGCCTAAATATATGTAGGATATTATATTTTTTCTTATAACCAATTTTGAAAAGAACCTGTCTGTGTATGCATTTATTGTTTTAAATTAATTGTTTTTTTAAATCTTCATATCTATTTTATGTTCAGCTTTGGAAATATACTTTGAATTATTTGTACTGGATTTTTTCCCCAACAATTGAGAGATTTGTTTTATCATTAATTATAATGTTAGGTGTAGGTTTTCTCTAAGCCCTTCATCAAATTGAGCAATTTCTCTTCTATTCCAAGTTACTGAGAGTGTAATCATGAATGATATTGAACTCTAAAAATTTTTTTCTCTGTCTAATGAGATAGTAATTTTTTTTTCATCTATTCTGTTGATTTTGCAACTTACATAATTTGATTTTTCTAATGTGGAACAAGGTTTGCATTCCTGGATAAACCCACTTTTAATATATTGCTGGATTTATTTGCTGATATTTTGTTGAGGATTATTGCATCTATCTTCCTGAGGGATATTGGTCTGTCATTTTCTCTTTCTCGTATGTCCTTTTCAAATTTTATTATCTGTATTGTGTTGCTCTTATAAAATAAGTTTGGAAGAGCCCATTTCTCCTCTATGTTTTAAAGGAGAATTGGGAAAGACTGCTATTAATTCTTCCTTAATTGTATGCTATAATTCACCTATGAAGCTATCCAAGTCTTTGTCTTTTACTGTTGCTTTTTTTTGGTTACAAATACAGTCTTTAATAGGTCCACAACTTGTCAGATTTTTCATTTATGTTAAGAAAATGCATTCTCTATTTTCAAGTACATTATATTAAACTTAAGAAATACTTTTTGAAACTATACAAAAAATAATTGCTTAGAAAAAAAATAGAAGAATTATTTCCAGGAGAGCAATTTTCTTTTTAGATGATGGAAAAATAAAATGTGGTAAATTTCATTCCTGCCACCAAAAATTTAGTGTTCAGTAAAAAGGCAATGTTGGTCTTGCTTTACCGAGACCTCCTTATATCACATCTGGAATGCTATGTTTACTTTTGAGTGCCCTCTATTAGACAAACATCTACTAAATTCAGAGTACTCAGATTCAAATCTAGTTATGAGAGCCATGCAAACAGTGTGTGTCAGTGACATAGCCAGCATTCTAGATAAAAGAGGGGTGTTGGATTGTGTATGTACCTAATCTTAAAAGGTCAGTCTAGCTCATTGTTGCCAATTTCTTCAGGAGAAGCAACAAACTGAATTATCATGAAAATATTGGCATCTGACATATGTGGGGTAAGCTATAAGGTAGAATTTGTTTTTGAGTGGCCTATTTAAGGAATGTGAATAGTACATGGAAATATAGTTTTGAATAACTAAAAATAACAAAATAAGGTTTATCATTCAAAAGGGGTAATTTAGAGAAAAGACAATGCCTGGATTTAAATATTTGCATAGCCATAACATAGAAGGAGGATCTGAAGCATTCTGTTTTAGGCAGCAGCAGATGAGTAGAATATTGAGAATAATAAGTACCTACATAGCATTGTAATGTGTGGGAGGATTCAGAGCATTTACTTCTCAACATAGAATAAAGATGCCCTTTTATATCACTTTATGTTTGAGAAAAGGGAAATATAAAAATGTTTAAATATATTATCTCAGATAACATAGTTTCTATGTACAATATTAGAGTTGAGATGTAACCAGTGGTATGCTAGAGACACCTCCTAAGTGCTCCTGATATGGTTTGGCTGTGTCCCCACTGTATGGTTCCCCCATACTGTTCTCGTGATCGTGAATAAGTCTCACAAGATCTGGTGGTTTTATAAATAGGAGTTCTCCTGTACCACCTCTCTTGCCTGCCACCATGTAAGACGTCCCTTTACTTTTCCTTCATCATCTCCCATGATTGCGAGGCCTCCCTCCCCCAGCCATGTGGAACTGTGAGTCCATTAAACTGCTTTCATTTATAAATTACCCAGTCTCGGGTATGTCTTTATTAGCAGCATGAGAAAGGATAATATACCTTCCAGGAATGGATAATGTTCCACCTCACCCAATGTCATGTAGGTAGCCAGAAATTATCCTTAAATGATGTAGTCACACCACATAAAATTGGCAAATACTATAAACTACCCCCTCCCTAAGTGTCAATTGTTAATAATTTACCAGCTTACCATTGATTTAACCTACACGTGCTGTTGCAAAGACTGTTCTTAACAACTACTTTGTATGGGAATTACAGAGATCTCAAGGTAAGAAAGAACTTTTTCTTTAGCAGTACATTTATACTAACAAATTAGAGTATTTCTTAGCTTCTCCTTAACTTGGAGATATTCAACTAGAGAGTGGATAACCAAATTAAGGGCTAAATAGATAATATGCAGACATTGGATAGAGGGATTGAAATTCTTCAGTGTAGAACCGTATGCCCTACTTTCTATATTCTTTAGGTATTAAAAATCTATATAATGGCTTTGTAAGGGAGAAAAAGATCTTTTCCTCACACATTGCTAGGTTCATGGCCAAGGCCCTCATAATGAAATACAAATTAACAAATGTAAAGCACACAGGCTTATTTAATATAAATTTTACATGATATGGGAGACTTTATGAAGAAATGAAGACCCCCCAAAATGGTAAACCGTGTTTATTTTTATGCTAGTTTTGATGAATGAATGGATAGTCATGGAGAAGTATGATTGGATTAAAAGAAACTATTATCTAATGGTAATAAACTGGGAGGAACTTAGTGAGACCTGTTTGTTCAGATTCTTTTCTGTGTCCCTGTGTCTTCAGAGAAAAGGATGTTCCTTTCTTTTTGGTCTAGGGAAGATTTTTATTGAATGAGGGTCTAATGATCAGCCTTAGTGGAAAGTCAGAAAATTCTTTCGGAGTTTTATGATGTTTCCTGGGATAAAGTGGAAGAAGGTCAGAGTGAAAGCTTCTTGTTTCTGTTGTTTTCTCAAATGCCAAAGAGCCATGTATTGGGCTAGCGTTTCCTCAACTCCATAGGCATAAATAATAGCATTAATTTCAATTGGAATATTCTCACTAAGAAAAACAAAATTTTAGTTTCTTAAATTTGAGCCAGTGTTAAGTTTGACTTAACATATATCATTATTAAAAATATAGCATTTTTGAAAATTGAGAAACAACTCTAAAAACCTTGAAGTTTCATTTGAAGTCAGGAGGCTGACTCATAAACCACATTAAACGTTTCCTAAAAATGCCATCCAACGTCTGGAAGGGTCATTTTATTTTGGGGGTGCATATTTCAGAGCAGCATGACATTTTCTTGCAGTCTTGTTTTATGTTGTAAAATATTGCACTAAAATTGAAGTTAAGGTTAACAGACTTTAAAGTCTATTCTTTTGAGAAAAAAAAATGTCAATTTTCACCTTTCACGCAAAATGAAAGCCACCCAGAGTACAGGTGTAATGCTGTTTAACAAAGGTTAATTTAAAATTCATGTGCTGACTGCCCTTGCAGGAAGGGGTATGGGGTAGCAGGGAATTTGACAAAAAGTTTCTCTAATCATATATAATAATTTCATATGTATATATAATTTTATGTATATATAATTATATATACATATATAAAACAATGAATAACTAATATTTATTTTTTGGAAATGAGGGAGCATTAGGGTGAAATACAAAAAGTTTTCTGATTACTATTGTTTCATACTGGTGAAACTCTGGTTTTGGACAGAGAGGATGTACATGTCCACCTGCTGAAAATAGTCTCTTTTCATGGGCACCACCATGGTGATAAGTGCAATTCAACTTTGCTCTTTCTACTTGAAGTCTCTCCAGGTTACCACTTTGGAAGTTATTTCACTTCTGACCTTGGCCATTATGATTTGCAGGCAAGTGACCACAATCATTAGCAGCCTTCACAAATCTGCTTACCCCCCTATGTTTTTTAAGGACAAGTGGATCTTTATTCTCTGTGTCATTTGTTATTTATTTGCTTATACAGAATATATTGGAAAAATTATATTTGAGAGATTGTAGATGAACTTTACCATTTAAAAATGGGTTTTCAATTATCTGTGAACCTTCTTAAATATCTTTTCTAATTTTTTTCTTAAGTTATTAAATATAAACAGCTTGATGCTTAACAATGCTATGTATTGTTTTCTCTTTCCCCATATGCATAGAAAGAAGAAAAGTGGAAAGGGTATATAAGAAAGGGAAGGAAAGAAAGAAGAAAGAAAGGGAGGCCATGAAATATAAATGAGCTCTATTAAACGTTGGCTAAGCATCATGCTAAATGATTTAACACTTTTACCATTTTATCGTCTCAAAAGCTTATCATGTGCCTATTATTGTACACATTTTGGAGGTGAGTATATTGAGGCTCAACAGAGCCAAGAGACTTACTCAATGTTATAAAATAGTAAAAACTGTATAATGGGAATGTAGTTAATTGTTTAACAACAGCAAACCATTGCATGTGATGAAAATGAAAATTCAATTATTTTTAAGAAAATTTTGAACTAGGTTATTAATACTATTGATCATGCTCTTTCCACCCTTATCTCTCATCAAAACAAAAAAAAATGTATTGTAGAGTAGATCCGAGTGGTATCATTTTCAATTTGTAGTCTTCAATATCAGATAGATGTCCCTATGTATTTTCTATATACAAAGTATTGAAACATACCAGGATAGCAGTCTACTTTATTAATACAGATAATATTTTAAAAACTACAAATTAAGTCAGAAATTCACTAATGATGAAGTAAAATTGTAGAAAGCATCTAGTTATAGGACTATAATCGTTAGTCCTAATGATTATAAGAGAACAGGGCTACTTCTGTAACTCAGATTAGATCCTTATATCCTCTTTCCTCATGTGGGGCCTTCACAGAATTTTTTTAAAGTTTTATTTCAGGTAACTTTATCCCTAGCTTTCTTTATTCAAAATCTGTGTAAGACGAAATATCATTCCCTTCCTGTACACACTCTGTTGCCTTGATATAACTATAAGTAACCTATCATACTTGTCTTGGCCCTTTATAGGTTTTAATATAACTCACTAGAGGCAAAAAGTAACTAAGAAACAGAGAAATGACAGACAAAAATCAATCAGGTGGTCCTCAATATTTTTCAGTTTGATTTGTGTGTGCATACCACATTCTATTTGTTATGTTGAGACTTATAAAATGTATTTTGTAGATTGTATTTGGTACAATAAACTGTTTTGAATACATTACATTAGAACTTTTAAAGAGCAACAGGTAAAAGATCATTTCAGCTTACCACTTGAGGGTGCTGCCTGCCATCCAACAGTTTAACCTGCATTATTTTTACCAGCTCATCAGAATTTCATTGTGTAGTAAATGAATAGCTTATTGCATGTTAACCTTATTACTTTATAAAATTGAGTTAGAAGTAAGACCAATTATGGCATTAGTCATAAAGAAGTGTTAGTTTTCAGGGACATTGAAGCAGTTGATGTAAAAGTGATAAAAACATAAAGCATGCATATGTTGGTGAATCATCCATCTCAATCATATGTTCCTTTAAACTAAATAGACAAGCTAAGTGTTGAAATGAAAAGGCATAATTAGGGTGTTTACAGTTGTTTTAGCTCTTTGGGAGGGTGTAACATGTTTATTGCCCAACTTTTGCAATTTTTGTCCTTATGTAAATTTTAATGACACCATTTTTAAAAACATAATGCTGGTAAAAAAGATATTTTTTAAAAAGTGTATATAAATGCTTATATGGACACTTGAAACTTCATTTGCTTACATAGCCAGTTCTTATTCCCAAAGGTGAAATCTAACTCTTATCCCCAAAATTATCATCTACCTAGCTTTTAGCTACAGTAATGGCAATATTGATAATCAAGATAAGACAACAATGATGATAATTTATAGCAATAAATACTGACATCAATGCAAGACATTTAAATGGATCACCCAATTTAATCTTCACCCTAGCACAATTTTGCAATGAAGAAACAGCTGACATTATATAATATCTCTACAACTTAACATCTCATAATTGGTAAGTAGTAGAAGTTGTACCTAAATCTATGTCTACCTAAAACTGGAGTTTCAAGCTCTCAACTACCATATGTAGACAGTTTTTTATATTCAAATTATACATTATATGTGATACCTTCTTACAGAGCAGAAGGTTTTCACTTCACCATCATCACCATCATCAATACCTCCACCACCATGGTTCACATTATCATTCTTATCTGTTGGCATTCTAGGTGTTTAATTCTTTCTTTTAAAAAGGATCAGCTGTATTTATATGTAGACAGATGATAGATAGATAGATAGATAGATAGATAGATAGATAGATAGATAGATAACAAGCATACACACAGCTTTGGGGAACTTACACACAGTAGTAACATTCAGTTATTCATCATCCATATTATACAGTAGAATCCAAGTAGAACACCTGTCATGCCTCCCCTCCATCACGACCTACCTCCTCCTCAAAGGTAATCACTTATCTGACTTCTATCATCAGAAATTAGTTGGGTCTGTTTTTGAAATTTATATAAATGGAACCACAATTATGTGGTCTTTTTCATTTCAGATCTAGTTTATTCTGCTCAATATTACAGTTGTGACATTTGCAAAAGCAGTGGCATATAGCAGTACTTTATTTACTTTTATTGCTGTATATTATAGCATTGTACAAATTTACAGGTTTTTATAAGTTATCCATTGGATTTAGATCATTTGGGTGTTTTGTGTCTTTGACCTTTAAACTCAGTGCTACTGTAAGCATTTTCTGTACATCTATTTTGGTGCACATTGACATGGCTTTCTTGGGTTTATGCCTAGTAATAGAAAAGTTGGTGATAACGTATGCATGAGTATCTTTACTAGATACTACCAAATGGTTGTCCAACATGGTTATACCAATATGCTCTTCCACCTGCACCATGTTAGATTTCTATTTGATTCTCATCCTTTCTAACTGTTGGTGTTTTCAGTCATTTTAATTTTAACCTTTTTAGTAGATGTATGACTTTTCATATTTCTCTTTAATTATCTTTAAATATATTTTTGACTTTGTCGTAGACATGTTATAGATAGAAGGTGAATTACTAATGCTGGAAAAGCTACAGCAAAGTTTTAGTAAAAGGATGAGGTAGATTTAGGGTGGAGTTTATAGTGGTCAAGCAGCCCATACAAGTAGAACAAATTTATATTTTTGGACATTTGTGTGCATTTATGAACATCTTGAATTGAGTAAAGGATAGAGAATACCAAAAGTTGAAAAGGTCCCAGCAAAACTCTGAAGAATGGGGGAGGTGGGGGAAGAGTGAACGTCTTACATTACCTAAGGACAGCTATGATCATAAAACCTGAATAGAGTTATTTTGTCCTAGAGAATGACCACATCACCTAAAGGAGTAACAGAGGATCATGGAATCATGTGAGGAGTTTCTTCCTAGCTCTCATTCTACCTGAATGAAATTAAAATCTAAGTTTTATCTTTGTGTCACAAATCCAAACTGCAGTCTCCATTCAAACCCAGCTATCTAAAATTGTATTTATTTTATTTTAGAGATGGAGTTTTGCTTTTGTTGCCCAGACTGGAGTGCAATAGTGCTATCTTGGCTCACTGAAACCTCTGCTTCCCAGGTTCAAGCGATTCTCCTGCCTCAGCCTCACGAGTAGCTGGGACTACAGGCACGTGCCTCACCACTCCCAGCTAATTTTGTATTTTTAGTAAAGATGGGGTTTCACCATGTTGGCCAGGCTGGTTTTGCACTCCTGATCTCAGGAGATCCGCCTGCCTTGGCCTCCCAAACTGCTGGGGTTACAGGCATGAGCCACCGTGTCTGGCCTAAAATTTTAAATTTTATATATATATATATATACTTAAAATAAAATACAAATATATCACTGGGACCAAAAAGAGTGCTATGGACTAGTATAAATTATATATATATATATACACACACATGATATATATATATATATGTATATATATATATATATATATATATATATATACATATATATATATATATACACACATGATATATATATATAAATTATATATATACTTACTAGTCCATAGCACTCTTTTTGGTCCAAGTGATATATTTGTATTTCATTTAAAGTAAAATGGAGACTTCATTGACTTTGAAAATGTCATATATTCCTTTGTAGGTTTCGTAAAGGCATCACAGCTTAGTTACAATCATTAATGCTGGACTTGCCAACTGAGAGGTAAATAAGACCTGGATGATTTCTTCCTTTACACTTTGCCGTGTTGTGGATTTCACCAGTGTTCATTCATTGTAGCTTCAATTATATTTGATGATTTAGAGTTACTCTCTTTTACTAACTTCCGTGGTTGTTTTTCATTTTTATATATCACCACAATGTAAAATTCTGCTATTGAATTTCTCTCTATTTTTTTTTTTCACATCACAGATTTTATGGCTTTTTTTATGGTACCCAAATGCTTGGCCTTTAATTTCCTTTGCTGGAATTGTGCCATTTTATAGATTTCTACCCCTGGGTGAATCTAGGATTCAAGAAGCCTTTTATCTCTTATTCACGTCCCACAGTATTCTCTAACATTTATTCTCAAATTGGTTTTCTATGTCAGTAAACAAAACATGAAGATGACAATTTGAGAGACAGTTTAAAAAGACGAGCAACATTCCATTTTTAGTTTCTGGAGATATTTTGTGCTGAAGTCACAGGCTTTCATTATTCAAGACAAATTAAGATTTATGAAATTGCATTCCATCTATATGTATGGGCACAGTGTTGGCAACTGTGGATTTATGAAATAAAAGATGAAGATACATTTTCCTTTGGCTGTTAGAAAGGCTGTTCAAATGGTAATAAGCTAGAATTATCATTTAAAAAGATCTCTTATTTTCCTGTAAAATTACAGCAGCCACTTTTAAAATAAAATTTTCTCTCTCAGAGAAAAATGATCCATCATTATGGTTATTGAGAAATTTTCTACCTAAACTAATGAAGGTAACCCTTCTTTTATGTTATAAAACAATGGACTGATTTTTAAACATCTATCCACAAGTATTTTTTACATCAAGGTATATTACACAGATTCGTAATTTCAAAAATTATGAAGACTATTTCTCTTAAAAACATTAAGCAGACAAAGAATGTAAAGGATTGCTAAAGTTTAATTTTGACTTTAGCAGTTCATTTGAAAATTAAATCTCAGCATTGAGTAACTTTTTGTTTTTAATTAGTTTCTTTTTCAGCTTTAGATTTATACCACATGATCAAATAGTCTCACTTTATGCAAAAATATGAAATTATTTTTTACATGTAACAAGGTAACTGTACAACTTTGCCCATAGCTTCAAGATTTTTCTAAGCTAGTATGTGAATAACTAATAACTAATAACATTAATAACTGTCCTGTTTCCCACATAAAGTCTCATTCCTCTCCTCTTATTTAGAAGCCTGCCTTTTACTAAAGGTGACATTAGGACAATATTATAGTTTTTGATAGTCAGAAAATATGCATCTGAGATTTTAATTATTCATGGTTTAAGATCTTTCAATAGTTGTAATCTTTTTGTGTTCTTAATGAGTGACATAATTACTTGACCTTTCCATTGCCTTAGATTTCATATGGGCCCTTTTGTCTATCATTGCTCTTCCTTGAATCTAAAACTTGACATTCATTCCCTCATGGCTAGATGTTGAACTAGATCTCCCTGCATCTAGGTTCTTCCTGCCTAGCATACCCATTGGATTAGCATTAGAGTTTTCTTTCTAGCATAGCATTTAGCAGCATGGGCTTTGGAATTAGTCAGCCATAGGTGTCGGCTCACTGCAACCTTGCTTCCCGGGTTCAAGCGATTCTCCTGCCTTAGCCTCACAAGTAGCTGAGACTACAGGAACACACCACCACTCCCGGCTAATTTTGTATTTCTAGTAGAGATGGGGTTTCACCATGTTGGCCCGGCTGGTCTTGAACTCCTGATCTCAGGTGATCTGCCCGCCTCGGCCTCCCAGAGTGCTGGGATCACAGGTGTGAGCCAACATGCCTGGCCTAAAATTTTAAATGATAGTTTTTTTACTAGTCCATAGCACTCTTTTTGGTCCTAGTGATATTTTTGTATTTTATTTTAAGGAAAATGGGATCTTTGTAGACTTTGAAAAGGTCATATGTTCCTTTGTAGGTTTCATAAAGGCATCACAACTCAGTTAAAAACATTAATGTTGGACTTACGAACTGATAAGTAAAAAAGACCTGGATGTTTTCTCCCTTTATACTTTATAGGTGTGAGTCCAGCTCTACCTCACTCTAACCGTGAACCTAACATACCTTGCATAACTTCTCTGTGTCTCTGTTTCCAATCTGGGGAAGTTGGGCTAATAATGACACGTAATTCAGAGGACTAAAAGGATTAGCCCAGATCATGTGGGCTTTTATCATACATAGTGCCTGATACACTTTGGATATTTGTCCTCACTTAAATCTCATGTTGAATTGTAATCCCCAGTGCCGGAGGTACGGCCTGGTGGGAAGTGTCTGAATCATGGGGGCTTATTCCTCATGGCAGCTTGGTGCTGCCTTAGTGATAGTGAGTTAGTTCTCATGAGATCTGGTGGTTTAAGTGTGTGGTAGCTCCCCCTCCACTCTCTCTCTTGCTTTCACCATGTGATGTAGAAGCTCTCGTTTGATCTTTTGCCATGAGTAAAAGCTTCCTGAAGTCTCACGAGAAGCCATGTTTCCTATACAGCCTGCAGAACTGTGAGCCAATTAAATCTCTTTTCTTTATAAATTATCCAGTCTCAGGTATTTCTTTATAGCAAAACCAGAATGGCCTAATACAGTGCCTGTCATTAGTATTTGCCTAGTATATGCTCAAAACTAGAAGTGGTATTATATTCATATTTTGGCAGAACTCCTTCTGCCAGGAGATGATGGATTTCTTGAGAAGAGGGAGGATATTTTTGTTTTTGTTTTGTTTTCCTTAGCCTGACTATATAGGATGGAGCTGATAAAGAATAAAATCTCCATATGTGATTTTACTTTAATGACATGTAATTCAACTGAATAATAAGGTCTACCTCACCATTCTGTGTGTCTGTACTTAAGTCTACTGATGAAATTGCCTCTGCAAAAATCGTGACAGTAAGAGAAATCTGACATGGCTGACCCCATCTTGCTTCTAGCCTCGCAGGCTGGCTGTCTTTGCTCATTCCTGGGAATGAGCCAAGCTAACTTAGGGAAGTATTTAGTTTATAGTTTAAATGACGGTAGCCCTTCCCCAAAACTAAACCAGCCTTGTAAAACTAATGAAAGGCCACCAGGTTAGGAAGTGGAGAGGGACCTGAATTCTGCTAAGATACAGGCTTAGTTAAATGATTATCAGCCATTATTCTGGAGGTCATAAGATTTGTAACTTCCTCAGGTTCTGCTGTAATTAACCTAAGATTGGCCTTTTGAAATGCCTTCAGGCTTTTGCATTTCTGACAACTGGATGGTCCAACCAGGATCTGTCCTTCCCTCAACCAGTCCTGCAGCCCCCACCCAGAAGCAGACTCAGCCAGGAGTACCATTTTTCACACCCCTATGATTCCATCCCCAACCAATCAGCAGCACCCATATCTTGGGCCTCTGCCCATCAAGCTATCTTTGAAGAATATCTAACCTCCAAGCCTTCTGCAAGATTGATTTTAGTAATAACTCTGTCTCCCACATACAGTGGCCAGCCTCACATTAATTACACTTTCACTTTAACTGCAATGCCATGGTCTCAGTGGATTGATTTTGTCTATTCAGTGGGCAGGAAGAACCCATAAGGTGGTTACTCTGATACTGCATCCTCACGGCATTTACTACTGCCTCCTCTTGGGGTTCTGTCTATCTGGTGACCCCAGTTCTGGTCATATCCTTGTCTCTGAGATCAATCCTATGACTCGTATGGGAGAGTCAATGATATCTTTTAAATCCTTTCAGTATATTCTAACATTCAATCACCACACGTCCACCACTTAAGTGGAACTGAATGTGTTGCTGAATTTGACCCAATTCTCATTTGCTGGTTTGTTTAACCACTTGTAGCTTATAAATTTGAGTCCTACATCAACCATGGACTTTGTCACTCTTCTTCTCTTCTGTAGAATTTACTTTAGCATTCTAATTAATGCCCAGAAATAGAAAGGATTCTTTATGCAATATATGCATCACTCCAAAAAAAATAAAAAACGCTGCTCTTCTCATAAACTCAAATGATATGAAATTCACTCTCTCCTAAGACATCCCTTTCCTTATTACCGCTTAGAAAGTTTTCCTTTGCTAAGCTGATTTCTATCCTCCAGAAGCTTTCTTCCTGTGGCTCCAGTTCTATCATTTAAGTCCAATAAAGGTAAGCCTCGTTCACTTCCAATATTCAAAGATAGCTCTTGCTTACTATCTGAGGCTGTCTCATTAAAAAAGCAATTGCTTCTTTCACCTATGCTTTATGGACCTTAATCTTGTATTTTCTAAATGATAACCATTAGACAGATTTAATTTTTCTGCATCCTTGAAAATGACCGGTACCCAGACCCAACAGTAGTGTGGCCTGTCCAATATGGGAAAGTTTTGCCAAATATTCTCTGGGTACCAAACTTCCAGATCAATTTTAGACTGATTTAGTAATCCATTAGTATTGATTTTTGCTGAAATTACCATTAACTGGAAACTTAACACTTTTTTATTATTTGCTTCTGATATTCATTCACCTCTCTCCTACCTTGAAACTACCAGATTGTTTTAGCAGACATATGTTTTGCCCTATTAAATTTTATTGCTAATTTCTGACTCACTCTTTTAGCACACTGCCAAAATATTTTTGGATCTTGATTTTATCAGTATCTGAAATACAGTCATTTTCCTCCTTAGGCTCCCAACCACTTACCATCCACCTCTGGAATTACTTGTCCTTTCAGCTAACTGGTAGCCAAGCTCATTAATATTTATAGCATTTCTAAAATGCCAACACCTCTTCTGAAATATCTCTCATTTTCAACATAGAGTATACTCTATGAATTCCAAATTTCAAGATATTAAGGAGAATGCATAATTTATAAACATATATGCATATAATCTTACATCTGGATGCTTTTTTACCATGTTTACACCATAATTTCTTTCATGTACATTAAAAACACTTGTACAAGTACAAATTTGTTTTCTACTTTTGCCCATAAATGTCAGAAAGAAGATGCATATTTTATAAGAATACACTGTCACTTTTTTCTTTCTAAATTAAGTTTTAAGTATTTAAATATAAAAATTTATTATTTAAACTATTGACTAATTTCATTTTTATCATTACTATATTCTCCATAACTTATAAGAGCTTGAATTTCAATTACTAACACATTTCTGAGATAAGGTGTTTTAAAATATATAGAAACCCAGGTCTTTTGAGGTGGTGGTGTTTAAATCCAAACAGTAGAGAGAAAAAAGCGTAAGAAGAAGTTCTCTGTTGGCTTTGCATCTGTCTTGGCTTGTTTCAGAGTAAATTTATTTTAGAATCTATCTCTTCCCTCCACTTTCTCTACAACGTGTTGTGTCTTCTTTACCTCCCCTGCATAACTTGAGCTAATCAATAACAAAGGTCTCCTGCACAAAGACAATGGCCTCCTAACCAATGTCCTTTAAGACTCTACCGCCTCGACACAGGAAATTAAAGAGAATTTTACAAGTTAAAATCTTATTTTCATGCCTCTGCTTTATTACTCTCAGAGAATAATTACAACAAATTTCTAATTACTGAGCTCTCAAGTTAAAGTTTCTGTGATTTGACACCCCCACTCCAAAACAAGTCCTCCCCCGTGTCATTTCGTAGAACTACTCATAGTTCAACTTGGTAGGCTTTTTTTTATACCCACTAGCTCCTTTGATCCCAGTTTGGTGGGAAATGCTGTTGTTTTCTCCACTCATGTCCCTTTCTTATTTTCCTATTGGGCGTAGAATTATCACTATTTCAAACTAATGGGCATAATTATTTTAGAGAACTTCCACATTTACAGAAAAATTGAGCAGGAAGTACAGAGATTTTCCATATACTCTTTCCTAACCCTCTTCCCTAGAGTTTCCCTTACCTTTAACATCTTGCATTCGTGTAGTACATTGTTTACAATTGAGGAACCAATATAGATACATTATTAACTAAAGTCCTTAGTCTTTATTAGATTTCACTCCTTGTGTTTGTAGTTCTGTGGATTTTTACAAATGGATAATATCATTCATCTGTGTCATCTGTTCACTGTTATAGTATATTATAAAATAGTTTCAGTGCCCCCAAAATCTTGTTGTACACCTATCCATCAAAACCCTGGCAACCATTGATCTTTTTACTGTCACTATAACTTTAGTTTTCAGAATGTCATATAGTTGAAACTATATAATATGTGGTCTTTTCTGATTGGCTTCTTTCTCTTAGTAGGTTTCCTTCTTGTCTTTTCATGGTTTTATAGCTCATTTCTTTTTAGTGCTAAATAATATTCTCTTCTCTGAATGTACTACAGTTTATTCATTCGCCTACTGAAAGACAGTTTGGTTGCTTCCAAATTTTGGCAATTAGGCTGCTGTGTGCATTCATATGCAGGATTCTGCGTGGGCGTAAGTTTCAACTCATTTGGGCAAATATCTAGAATTGCAATTGCTAGATTGTATTGGTAAGACTGTGCTAAACTTTGTAAAACACTGCCAAAATTTTTCCCAAAGTGGCTATTTTTTATTTCCACCAACAATGAATGAAAATTCCCGTTTCTCTACATCCTCACCAGCATTTGGTATTGTCAAATTGTGGGTTTTTGCCATTATAATAGATGCGTAGTGGTATTTTGCTGTCACTTTAATTTGCAATTCTCTAATGATACATGAGGTTAGCATGTTTTCATATGCCTATTTTGTCATTCTCATATCATCCTTGGTGAGGTATCTGTTCAGATAGTTTGCTTCTTTAAATTGCTTTTTTCTAATTGTTGTTACAAACACCTTTTTTTACCTTTATATTTTTATTTTTATTTTATTTTATTTTATTTTTATTATTATTATTTTGAGATGAGGCCACACTATGTTGTGAAGGCTGGTCTCGAACTCCTGGGCTCAAGTGATACTCCTGTCTTGGCCTCCCAAAGTGCTGGGATTTCACACGTGAGCCATTGCACCTCAAACATCATTTAAAAAATAAAAATTTAAGGCAAAATCCTCTTAAAACCTCGCTTATTCCCATCAGTCATAGTACTCTGTCACTCCGTGCACGGCTCTTTAAATCCTATACATAATTCTATGAAAACGCTTGTAATAACTAATCAACATGAGCTGCTTACACATTTTCTCCTCTTATAGGTGATTGTAAAGGCTTTCAAAACAGAAGCATATCTGTATCTCCAGCAGTGTGTTTCCAGTCACAGAAGAAGCATTCAATAAATTATTTTGAATGGATGAATTCAGCTAACACAGTCTCTATAGCCAGTTGTCTAAGTCATTATCTAAAGCATATGGTAAAATTTCTTATTTCAAAAACAGAACAGTAACAATTGAAGGCTTTTCAGAAAGAATAAAACATTTGAAGGAGGTAACTAATCTATCAGGCTTTTTAAAAAAATATTTGATTCTTTGTTCCTACTTCGTCCTCTGGTTTCTCAACACTTAAAATGCCAGAGTTAGCTAGCTATATAATTCTCACAAAATCCATTCCCTTTAACATGAACTCTTTACCAACAAATAAAAGAATGCCTAAGCACTTATCGATCATTTCCAGCTAGTCAGTAATCAATTCTAATGGGGAGACAAAGACAGTGGTGGAATTATTTTCACTTCTTAAATGGACCCAAATTCATTGAGCATCTTAAAGAAAAAATTATCATCATTTGTTTATTTTTTTTTTTGAGACAATGGCATGGTTTGGCTGCATCCCCACTGAAATCTCAACTTGAATTGTAACTCCCAGAATTCCCACCTGCTGTGGGAGGAACCCAGGGTGAGGTAATTGAATCATGGGGGCCAGTCTTTCCAGTGCTAGTCTCATGATAGTGAATAACTCTCATGAGATCTGATGGGTGTATCAGTGGCATCCGTTTTTCCTTCTTCCTCATTTTTCTCTTGCCACTGCCACGTAAGAAGTGCCTTTAGCCTCACACCATGATTCTGAGGCCTCCCCAGCCATGTGGAACTGTAAGTCCAATTAAACCCCTTTTTGTTCCCAGGTTTGGGTGTGTCTTTATCAGCAGCATGAAAAGGAACTAACACTAAATTCGTACCCGTAGAGTGGGGCATTCCTGAAAAGATATCTGAAAATGTGGAAGTGACTTTGGAATTGGGTAACAGGCAGAGGTTGGAATAGTTTGCAGAGCTCAGAAGAAGAAAGGAAAATGTGGGAAAGTTTGGAACCTCCTAGAGACTTGTTGAATTGCTTTGACAAATTGATAGTGATATGAACAACAAGGTCCAGGCTGAGGTGGTCTCAAATGGAGATGGGGAATTTGTTGGGAACTAGAGCAAAGGTGAGTCTTGTTATGTCTTAGCAAAGAGACTAGTGGCATGTTTCCCCTGCCTTAGAGATTTGTGAAACTTTGAATTTGGGAGAGATGATTTAGGGTATCTGGCAAAAGAAATTTCTAAGCAGCAAAACATTCAAAAGGTGACTTTGGTGCTGTTAAAAGCATTCCATTTTAAAAGGGAAACAGAGCATAAAAGTTCAGAAAATTTGTAGCTTGATGATGCAGTAGAAAAGAAAAACTCATTTTTTGAGGAGACATTTAAGCCAGCTGCAGAAATTTGCATAAGTAGCAAGAAGCCTAATGTTAATCCTCAAGACCAGGGGGAAAATATCTCCAGGCCATGTCAGAGACCTTCATGGCAACCCCTCCCATCACAGATCTGAAGGCTTAGGAGGAAAAAGTGGTTTTGTGGGCTGGGCCCAGGGTCCCAGTGCTGGGTGCAGCCTAGGGACTTGGTGTCCTGTGTCTCACCCGCTCCAGCCATGTCTGAAAAGGGCCAACGCAGAGCTTGGGCCATGGCTTCAGAGGATGCAAGCCCCAAGCCTTGGCAGCCTTCAGGTGGTGTTGAGCTTGCAGTGTACAGAAGTCACGAATTGAGGTTTGGGAACCTCCACCTTGATATTAGAAGCTGTATGGAAACACCTGGATGTCCAGGCTAAAGTTTGCTACAGGGGCAGGGACCTCATGGAGAACCTCTGCTAGGGCAGCACAGAAGGGAAATGTGGCATTGGAGTCCCCATACAGAGTCCCTACTAGGGCACTGCCTAGTGGAGCTGTGAGAAGAGGGCTACTGTTCTCCAGACCCCAGAATGGTAGATCCACTGACAACTTGCACCGTGAGCCTGGAAAAGCTGCAGACACTCAATGCCAGCCCATGAAAGCAGCAAGGAAGGAGGCTGTACCCTGCAAAGCCACAGGGGTGGAGCTGCCCAAGATCCTGGAAACCCACCTCTTGCATCAGCCTGACCTGGATGTGAGACCTGGAGTCAAAGGAAATCATTTTGGACCTTCAAAATTTGACTGCCTAGCTGGATTTCAGACTTGCATGGGCCCTGTAACCCCTTTGTTTTGGCCAGGTTCTTCGATTTGGAATGGCTGTATTTGCCAAATACCTGTACCCCCATTGTATCTGGGAATGTATCTACCTACACCCCCATTGTATCTACTTTTGATTTTGCAGGCTCATAGGGGGAAGGGACTTGAATTGTCTCAGATGAGACTTTGGACTGTGGACTTTTGGTTTAATGCTGAAATGACTTAAGACTTTGTGAGACTGCTGAGAAGGCGTGATTGGTTTTGAAATGGGAAGACATGATATTTGGAGGGGCCAGGGGTGGAAGAATATGGTTTGGCTGTGTGCTCACCAAAATCTCAACTTGGATTTTATCTCCCAGAATTCCCACATGTTGTGAGAGAGACCCAGTGAGAGGTAACTGAATCATGGGGGCCGGTCTTTCCCTTGCTATATCGTGATAGTGAATAAGTCCTACAAGATGTGATGGGTTTATCAGGGGTTGCCACTTTGGTTTCTTCCTCATTTTCCTCTTGCCACCGCCATGATTGTGAGACCTCCCCAGCCATGTGGAACTGTAAGTCCAATTAAACCTCTTTTTGTTCCCAGTTTCGGGTGTGTCTTTATCAGCAGCATGAGAACAAACTAATATTGGTAGAGTCTTCCTCTGTCACCCAGGCTGGAAGGCAGTGATATGATCACAGCTCATTGCAACCTAAACCTCCTAGGCTCGAGTGATTCTCCCACCTCACCCTCTCAAGCAGCTGGGACAACAGGTGCTTACCACCACACCCGGTTAATTTAAACATTTTTTGTAGAGACAGTCTCTTTTCATGTTGCCAAGGCTGGTCTCAAACTCTTGGGCTCAAATAATCAAGTGTGTGTGTGTGTGTGTGTGTGTGTCTGTGTGTCTGTGTGTGTATGTGTACATTTGTAATTTGAGAGGATCGGAAGGTGAAGATGAATTTAGCAATATCTGGTACAACTGAGAAGGTATATACTTTTATCTGACCTAGAATTCGCATCTAGTTATTCACTTTTTGAAAACGCTCACACACTCGAAAGCAACCACCTATGAGATATCATTTGTAATTGCAAAATACAGGGAATAACCTACACGATCATCAATATAGTCATATGGTGGAATGCTATACAACAGATAACATAAATAACAAGGATAACACGAGTCATCATGAACAGGGCTCAAAAACAATGTTAGGCAAGTTGCAGAATGTGCAAAATAGTAGAATTTATATAAATTAAAAATTAATATATTTAGTCTTTATACGAACACATATTATAAAGCATATGTTAAAAATAGACCAGCAGTGGAGGATTCTGGGAAGATGGTAAAGCAGAAAGCCCCAGAAATCTGTCACCCCACCTATATAATAATTCGACTGGCAGAATCTGTCTAATGTAACTATTTTGGAACTCGAATATATTGAAGGATCCCAACTTTCAGGGTAAGGCTTGAATGATAAATTACGGTTAATTTTGGTCAATTCCAGCCCCTGGGGAAAGGTAGATTTTCTCAAAGAAAAAAAACAGGGTACAGTTTGTGGAAAAGGTTGCTGACAAAGCAACATGTAGGGCTCATTATAACAGAGACAAGGATTAGACCATGTGATATCAAAGCTCATAATATTTAAAATTAGCCTGTGCAGCTCCAGGCATTGTCATGGAGGGTAAAGGTTATCTCCCTTTTAGCTACCTCAAACTACAATGTGGGAATTTTCAGATCCTTAGCAGACCATATATGTCCAAGTACTGATTCCAAATTCCTCTAGTCTTCCAAATTCTGTCCTTTCTCCCTAGGGCATATTGCCCATTCTTTTCAGCCAAGCCATCCTTCAGCATTCTGGGCCGCATGAGTGCAGCTCAAATGTAATGCCAAACAAATCAACAGAATAGCTGTCAGGCCTTCACTGGAAACAATATTAGCCTTGTCTGTTCATACTGAGAGCAGAATGGAAGTGACACAAATAAAATGTAATGGGATAAAATATATTGCTCAATGTACAGTAACAAGGAACTATTGGTTGACATTTTTTTCTCTCTCCTCACTACAATTCAATATAGTTTCTCCGTGATTTCTACATAGTGTTAGTTAACAGAGTGCCTGCATCAGTGTCAAACACATAGTTGGAGGACAATAAATGCACTTTTAATGAATTTATAGATGAATTAAATCAGATTCAATGAATTGGTTATAGAATTTGTACTAAGACTCTATGCAGAATCTCAAAGTTGGAAAAAAAAATCTTTGCGTAAAAGCCATTGGAAGGCCAGGCACGGTAATCATGCCTGTAATCTTAGCACATTGAGAGGCTGAGGCGGGAGGATTGCTTGAGCCCAGGAGTTCAAGGCTACAATGAGCCATGATGGTGCCATTGCACTCCAGCCTTGGTGACAGAGGGAGATCCTGTCTCATAAAATAAATCTATAAAAGTAAAAGCCATCTGGTGCACCTATTTTCCCTAATAATGAGTTCTTTCCACTAGGTTCCTCATGAGTATTTATTTTGATACAAGTTTAATAGAAAATGTATTACCACACGAATCGCTTAATTCCAATGACACACCATCCCAAACGTCTGAAAGTTTCTTATACTAAAGTATATTGATGGTTCTTGCACTGAACCCATCAGAGATGGATTGTGGGAATCAGATAAATATGAAGACGACCACATAAGCCAACACTATTGCATTTGGATCTATGGCAAGCCTATATGCTCAAAGCATTAATAACATATGATATATTTTTAAATAACAGAATATCATGCCTTTACATCTACAGTTTTATTTTGCTCAATATAGCTCCCTTTCGTCTCAATAAATTGCATTCTCTAAGTTTAAGAAGCAGGTGTAAGTCAGAGGAATTGACAGGCATTTTTGGATGTCCAATATTTCCATGGTACTGCTTTGCATTTCATGCACAAAACCTCTTTTCATCTTTGCAATAAAGTAGGTACTGCCATTAAGTCTACTCTCAGAGGAAACAGGTGTAGGAAATTTAAGAAACACATCCAAGGTCACACAGCATGTACATCGTGGAGCTGGCACTTGAACTTGTGTCTATCTGGCTAGAAAGTCCATTCTTTATTCCTGAGTTCACCACCTTCCAGCTATGTTTATCATTTATTTCCTAAACTGCTCAGGATAGTAAAAATCCAGAGATATTCTTGGCAAAGAATCGACTTGCTAAAACACACATGCCATTGGTTCTTCTCTAACATTTAACATTTGTGATACTGTTTGCTGAACAGAAAGAAATGCTAAGACTCGAGACCAAATGTTTACTGAGCAGATTATTCTTGATGGCCTTCTGCTTAAAAGTTTAAAATTAAAAATAGAACACTACTCACTGTTTGTCCCCTGCCAAACTGTGTGGGAGCAGCAGCACAGATTGCAGGGCAAGGCTTCGGAAGCTCGAAGCTCAGCAATACATCTTCCTTTGTCCCCAGTGTTAATATCCTCTCTCCTTTTCTTTCAGGACAGAAAATAGTAACTAATAGCTTTAATAGCTGCCACTTCCATCACTTTAACTGCGAGTAAGCTCAGATTTTCTTTCACCCTTCAGAATCTACAGACCACGGATGGCCACCTAAGGCTCTGTGGAGTCCTGGAACTGTTGCTTTGAGGGAATTACCGCCATGCTTCCCAAAATACGTCTCACCACAAAAATGATAAATGCTGATACGGGAGAAAAGATGGGAACTTAGGAGACTGTAAATATGTCCCTCAGTTCTCTGTGTATACCTTGGGTTTCTCACCCTGAGGGAATGTAGTTGCAGCTGTACTACGTGGGAAGAGTAAGCGAGAATGTTCTTTTTCCTTTGTCAGAAGTCGTGGAGCAAGGAAATTTTGCCTGGGGAGGAGGTGGAATGAAATGAATTATGTCCTTTTCTCTTGATCTGTTTAGCTAAGCAGCAATGTTTCTATTGGTGATGGAGGGCGTTGCTGTTGATTCTGCAGTCGAATATGTTAATGTGCTAGGTAAATAAGAGGGGAATTCTGAAACAACTCTGTGATTACAGAAGACAGAGCTGAGTTTTATTTCCACCTCTGCCACTTGCTAGTTGAGTAATCCAAGCTCTGTAATATAAGCTTTTTGAAACTTTGTTTTCCCAGTTGTATATTAGATGGTATGAGCCTACCTTGCAGAGATGCCATAAGAATAGGGTTGCCAGATTTATCAAAAATGCTTGGTACTTAGTTAAATTAGAATTTTAGATGAACAAGTTGTCTCAATAGAAGTATTTCCCAAATATTACATGGTGCATACTTATACACTATATACTCTATATAATATATATTTATACACTATATACTCTGTATAATATATACTTATACACTATATACTCTATATAATATATACTTATACACTATATACTCTATATAATATATACTTATACACTATATACGCTATATAATATATACTTATACACTATATACTCTATATAATATATACTTATACACTATATACTCTATATAATATATACTTATACACTATATACTCTATATAATATATACTTATACACTATATACTCTATATAATATATACTTATACACTATATACTCTATATAATATATACTTATACACTATATACTATATATAATATATACTTATACACTATATACTCTATATGATATATACTTATACTATATACTATATATATGGTTTCTTTTTTATCTGAAATTCAGATTAAACTTGGTGTCTTGTATTTTATCTGCCAGTCTACTAGAGAAGTTAATAAAGCATCTACTAGCACAATACTTGACACAGATTTGATGCTCACCAGAATTTATTTTTCTTTCCAATTTCTACATTTTTGTTTCATGCTCCAAACAAGGGCTCATTTTTTTAACTGTCAAAATGAGTCAAAATTGAATTGTGTTTCCCTGAAGCCACAAAATAGTAAAATATCAAATGTTCTCTTTGATGAGGGCACTAGCTAAGGAATTTCTGCTCCCTGCCATTAAAGATTCTAGGGAAGCTCAGTGTACCAAGGTTGAATCTCTTTCAAAAACTGACTTCAGAAGTAAATTAGTTTGTCAACTAGTAAATACAAATAAGTATTGCTTGAGTTTATATGGCATCATTTTCAGTGGAGGCACAGATATTTAATTTCAAGATATTGCATTTGACTATGCAGCAAAAAAGAAACAGCAGAGGTAACTCTTATTTCATACCTAGAGAAATTGAGGCACTGATTGATTCAGCAAATCATTTACTCACAAAGACCCAGTCGATCAGAAGGCAGAAACAAAATAAAATCAAAAGTAAATTCCCTGAATTATAATCAAATTTTATTTTTCTATTAGACTTCATAAGATGACGAGAAGAGGAAATAAGATGGGATATATGGAAGTATTTAGAAATCTTCAGATAAAAGGGCAGTACAAGAAAACATTGTTTTTATGTAGAAACTAAATATATTTGTCACAATTAAATCTATTTTCTATCATTGCAATATTAAAATAAAGAGTAAGTGAGCTGTAAACAGCATTTAAATTAGATTAACGTCCACAAAGGTTGGTAGTATGAAATGTAACTCTAATTTCATTTTATAGTTGGATTAAATCCAGCCTTCTATCAATGTGTTATTAAATTCAATTAAAAAAATTCCTTCTGCTGCTAAAAATAAGCACTTTTTCTTAAAAGGATAATCATTAGAAAATTATACGTTTATTTTTAATGTTTACCTATTAAGTGTAGTAAATACTACAATATGCGCACAATTGATTTATCTACTACCCACAGGCAAATGAATATTAAACTTTTTTTACCGGCCTGATATTCTAGAAAAGAACATTTACGATCCTTAACATCCCTTAGATAATCAGAATACTATGCTCTGCATTTGATATGGAGCTTGAAACTTGTCCCCATTTATATTTAATCTCATTTCTTTTCATTTTTCAAGTTCAAAATAAAGACCATTTTATTGCTGTAGGAACTATTTTGCAATATACTAAAAATAAATAAATATATAAAATGAGCAATGTGCAAAATATAACCTCAATTGGCTTAGAATTAGTCTCTACTTATGTTCAAGAAAAAGTGAATATATTTAAACATATAAAAATATTTGGAGGAAATCTATTTTATGTTGGAGTTGGCATCATTAACTGAGATATTAAAATACTGGCCATGCTTTTGGGCCAGGTATCTGCAATTATGCTTCCTAGCATTTTTGGAATTCTCCTTCATGCAGATCTTTAAAGACATAGAATATTTAATGCTGTTCTATTAATGCCAAATAATTGTTTTCAGATTTGCTTATTTTTCAACCTAAATATTTCAACTTTTTGTTTTTCTAAAGGCAGTGTGAGGTCCACAGGAGGAAGTCTATAGCTTTCATCTTGATTTATAGAGATGATGATAAAAGTTTAGTCTCACAGCTTGTTCCCCACTCATCTGGTAGAATGCAGTCTACAGCATATGTTCAAAGACAGGTTATCCATAGCTGAATGTGGTTTGATTTTGGTAAACATAGCCTACAGTAGGAACATATTGAATTTAGGTTCAATTGCACAGGAAAGAAAAGTAAGAATATTCCAATATGCAATATATTTCCCAATTAGTTTTATGCCTAAGATCTTTGTCTTGTTTTGTTTTTCCCCCTCAATCCTTAGGAAGTTAAACTCACAGTACACAATGGTCAATATACATGATAAACCTATTGATGAAATATTTAGCCTAAATGTTATGGTTATGAGATTAATTCATTCAGAAAAAAATTTTCTTGAATGCTTTATACATGGTAAACACTGTGATAGGGAAGAGGTCTACACTGCCTCAATTCTTATCAGGTTTATAATCTATTATGAAAAATAGATACATATGCAAATTACAAATAATGAAGCATGTTATAGTGAAAAAGCACAGGATATTACGAAATAATATAACAGAATATTAGGAAAGACTTTTCTGGGAAGGAATATTTATGCGGAGACTCTACAGAATGAAGAATCAGCCAGCCAAAGAGTGGAAGAAATAATGTTCTTGTCAGAAGACTTGAATGTACTTGGCAAAGGGGCATGGTACCAATCAAAGAGGAAGTCAGATCTTGCTGAACCTTTGGAAAGTCAATAGCAGGGAAATGACAAATTGATTTACATTTTCTCTTTGCTGTGGATAGAGAACGCACCAAAGTTGGCAAGGAAAGAAGAAAGAGAATCAATACAGAAGCTCATTGGAATTATGTGGTGGTGATGGAGGTGGAGAGAAATGTACTGTTCGGTACATACCTGTGGTCATTATTCCCAATGGCTAAGAGAAAACAAAACAAAACAAAAATCCTAGGCATAAAATTAACTTGAAAATACATTGCATATTGGAGTATTCTCACTTACAGAAACATCTTTCCAGTAACCCCAGAGAAGCCTAAAACACACACTGACAATGAAAACATTAAAGAAACCCTCTGCAATAAATGATAGTAATTAAAAGATCCAATTAATGTTATATCCTTTGCAAAGGCATCATCTCATATAGGCAGGGTAAACTCTCCTTTCTTCTTAACACACACTTCCAAGGCCCACTCTGTTCCACCAGTGTAGAGAAACGGTGTGCTCTCTTGTTGGCCATCCTTACAGGGGCTTCTCATTCATTCTTGACTTTCTCTCGCCTTGCTACTCAGCTCCTTTACAGTATTTTTCACACAGCAGATGTTAAACATGTGTGTAAACAGGTGAAATATATTAATGATGGTTTCTATGTCAAATTGATGCAGGGAAAGCAAGCCCCAAAATTGGTATTAGCCTGTGAGGGTTCTTGGCTTTGCCCAGGAAAGAATTCAAGTGTGAGCTGGTGGTGATAGACAGCAACTTCTATTGAACCCAAGCTGCTCCTTGTGGAGCAGGGCTAATTCCTAGGCTGTGCTCCCAGAGTGAGCCCTTGTGGTATTGGCTATGTGTATTTATACCCACTTTTAATTGCATGCAAATTAAGGGGAAGGTTATTCAGAAATCTCTGAAAAAGAGGCAGTAACTTTCAGGTGGCTGCCATGGAACAGGGCAGTAACTTTCGGGTTATTTCCACGGTATTTGTAAACCGTCATGGCGCTGGTGGGAGTGTCTCATGCTGATGAGCAATGAGGGAAACTACAGGTTGCTTTCATTGCCATCTGTTTGTTCTGACCAGTTTCTTCACTTTATCCTGTCTGAACCTGAAAATGAGCCCTGTAGGTCTCCTGCCTCAAAATAACTGGCATGAACGTGGTTTAATGTAGTTGTTAACTAAACAGTCCCACTAAGACATGTGAAATAGGAACTCACCCATCTCTGAATTAACCCTAAATTAGGATGAATAAATGTTATTCTACAAAAGAATCCCAAGCACAGCTGCAAAACAGATATGGCTAAGGTGACTGCATGGGAACCTGACAGAAGATATCAGTGAGATGCTGGTAATGATCAAAATGGAGCATCATTGCTAAAAAAAAAATCAGTAAAGTGTTTGTTTATAACTTTAAAGGTAAAACAAAGAACATGATGGGAAAGCTATACAGTTTTCTTTGATATTCTGTAGAAATAAAATATTTTAATCCTTATCAATTGGTAGAATGTTCTTTGCCATTGGTTTGGAGTGATACGCTTTGGGATTGCTATCCACTCCCCTAGGTTATAAAAATGATTAAGATATCAAAAATATTCAGGCTATAAAGAAATCATAGTAGTAAACTTCAGATGAAAGTTTGTCACTGCAGCTTATTTGTAAGGAAGCAACCTCTACGGTCTCTCATTCTGCAACACAATTCTTAGATCCATGGTAAAAGTGATTTGTTTTAAGAGGAATTCCATTCCCAGAGAAATAAGTGTGATTTTAAGTTCTCTAGTTACATCTCTCATTTTAACTATCATCTCTAAAAATATTATTTGAAGCATGTAAGCCTTGTTATTTAATTTTGCTCTTTGACTTTACAGAATAAATACAAAGTCGAATGACAGTTAGAAGTGGGTCCCTGTTTTCACACATAAAATAGTTATCTGTTATAAGCATTTTTAAACTTTACCCTCTTTTCTTTATAGTATCAAGTAAAATAAACACCACTGTGGGTATTTATGTAATTTTACAAGCACTTATTTTCAGACAAAAATGGAAATATTAATGAATTTAAGCTGAATTGGCTGATGTGCAAATACCCATAATTCCCTTAGGAATGATTGTTTAGTGGTGTCAATGAAAAAGAGCAGGTAGTTTGGAATAATAAGTTAATTTGAAAATTGAGATTATTTGAGCTTTGCAGGGTTTAGCACAACTGTTGGAATATCCTTTTATTCTCTGATTGAGCCACCAAGTCTCATCTCTTTAGAGCACCATTGATTATCCAACTAAACCCTTTGGTTTTAAAAATGGCACTGGTAGTGTGATATCTTGGTTAAAGTAAGTGATTTAAAATACACACAAACTCATACACATGCATACACATTTTTTCACAGTATACGTACACTGACACCAAGACAAATTCCATTTGTAGATCACCTTGCATTGGTTATCTCTACCCTTGGAAAGACACAGAATGGGCAAGCAAAGTCAACTGGAAGTCATATATCAACATTTTAAAAAATATCAGGGAAACATTATGCTGTGCTAAGAACTAATAATCTCCTGGAGGAATACAACAGTGACATGGCAATGTGTAGTGATAAAATTTGCATCAGAGCATTAGTGGGGTTAGGGGGGAAGGAGTCAAAACTATAGACACGGATGCTATTTATGAATGTCCTCGTCACTAATAAAAAGTTTTAGGGATGCACTGGCCATCACAAAAGTCGCCTTTGACCCAAAGAAGACAGATTGTGTTTGTCTTTGTTCAGTACTATCCTCCACATCTAACCAACCATCCGTAGAACTGTAATCTCACTTTCCACCAGCCACTAAACCAAGCCCCAAAATACTGTAATTGGGTTTTCTCTTTCTCCTAATCTCTTAGTATCCAAGGGAAGATGTTTAGATGCTAGTGATAGGAAAGAATTCAGGAAACTTTATTTATCAACTAGGGACTACATAGCCAAAGAGTAACTCTGTCATTGCGCAAATAAACTTACCCCAAAACCTCCATAAATTAGGACTAGAGATACATTTATGATTCCTAACAATTGCATGTGGAAACTCATGAGAAAAAAAGCTAAGAATTAAAACCTATTTCTACCATCTTTGCTGAGGCCTTGGCCATCAGTATTGGCCCAGTCCTTAAACAAGTGAGAGTAAGAAGCTCTGACAATGCTTCTTACTGTGCTAGCTCCTGGGGTACAAAAGAAAGTAATTCAAATGTGGCTCCTTTTCCCGAGGCCTTAAGGATTCTTTCCTTCAACCATAATTGAAAAAAGATGGTCCTTTTACATTTATTTCCACTATTTGCCATTTTTTTGTATTTGGCGTACAGTCATTTTCTTATTTTTCCTACTTCTGAACAAAATCATTATCCTTAAAATTCTTCTCTCCCTGGCTCCTTTATCAACCTTACTGATATAAATTAAGATTCACTTTCAAAAGAAAATGCCAATATCAGGTGGTCAACAACCAGAGGCAGTAGAACTCATGTAGAATCAATGGTATCAGGCTACCCAAGCAGGTATTGAATAGTGCACCCATGTGCAGAGAGGGAATAAAAAAAGAAAAAAAAAGTGTGAAGGATCTGTTGAAACACAGTTGTAAGCAATGTGCAGTAACTGTGAGTGGCTGAAAAATCACAGTAGTTTAATAGACCTGCTGGGCATATCTAAGAAGAGGAGTGATTTTTTTCTTTGAACAAAGTAGTTGCCTATGCCAAAAGCTCTGCGGGGTTTCGGGACTGGGACTAAGAATCAAAATAACCATTTAGATCCTGCTCAGGATGAAAAAAATGAAGCTATATTTTATTGTTATTTTAGGTCGCAAGTAATAATCAACAGCAGGAATAACAGCAACAATAAGAAGAGAAATAATTGTGATTGGTCACCTTTTTAGGAAAAACATCTTACTGTGAATTGATAAAATGCATTTATCTATGTATACTTTACATTTAAACAAAACACTTCTGTTAAGAAGAACTGAATTCATAGTGGCTTATGCTAAAGGGAGAATGAATTGTCTCATGTAGTTGGAAGGTTTCAGGTATAGCTGATTCCAGGCACTTAGTCAATTGCCGTCAGAACTCATACTCTTTTTCGCTCCCCTCTCTTCCATGGGGGCTCCATCCACAGACAATTTCCATTCATACCAGCAGAAGCTACAAGCAGTTGCAGATGTCAAATCTGTCTTCTTAGTAAGCCCCAAAGAGAACATCTTTCCCTGACTATTTTAATCAAAAGTGTAGCAATTGAGTTTCAATACTGCTGATGATTCCCCAACTCACCTAGTTTGTAAATACAGAGCTAGAATTTGAACTGAGGCTCGTTTGATTCTAAAGGAATTTTTAAGGGAAAAACCAACTAACATCTATACTCCGGCTAAACTAAGTAAAACAATGTTTAGCTACAGAGTTTTTATCAAAGTAGTTTTATGGTGTTTTCAAAACTGTTGTTAGATGGAAGTCATCAGTATAAAGTGCATAACATTTTGGTAAATTCATCCTGCTTTAGAAAACATTTATAAATGAGGCAGAAAAATTAGTCTATATTCTAAGATAAAAAAGACTACTCACTGCCAGTTAATAATATGTTTATGCCAGTACAAATAGACATATTGGTTTAAAGATGTAGAAAAAATAAGTATTTTTAAAATAGACTTCACATTTAAGCAAAATGGAACCATATTTTGCCTCAAAATGCTTTAAATTGAGTGGCTGGATTTGAATGTCGAAATGCTGAACTTCCTGGGAAATGCCAGAAATAAAATTGTTTAGAATGTGACTGTTTTTGCCTTGTATTGCACAACATTCAATCGCTTCTCCCCTCCCCATCTTCTTGGTGGCTAATGTGAGGGAATATTTGACATGTGAAAAATAACCTTTTTTTTCCCTCTCCCGGATGGTGTTACCATATGGCTTTAGCATTTGGTTCCATCCTTTTCACCCTCCTACTATTTATTTATTTTAATCACTACTCGTGATTAGTATAAAGAAGGGCTCTGAGAGTCTATTCTTGGCTGTATTCTCATTCACACTTTGGCCCCAGATCATTCAATTTCCTTTAGACGCAGAGTCTGCCATCTTTAAATGAGCATAATGTTACTCACCAGTTGAATGAAATTCTTAAAAAATGATAGTTCCTTATGTTTTAAGAGAGTTTCTATTATCTGTGAATTTTTTTTTCTCCCTCAGTTCCAAAACCATCTGTGCCTTCTCATTTATGACCAAGACTTTTTTGAGTTTCAAATTTGCTTAGAGCTGACAAAACACAACATCTGGATTTCAATTCAAGGCGGAAGGCTCATTTGAAAGCTTTTTAATGCCCCTGGACTGCAATGAGATCAAATTGAAGAACATTTTTTATGAGTTGAGGGCAAATGAATTAGAAACATGTGGATTAAATTTCTCTTAAACCTCAAAGGGAATTTAAATATTAAGGAAAAGTGCTTTGCAAACTGCTTCTTGGCTTCTGCCAAAGTCAGAACACTTAAAAAAAGAAAAAGAGTTGGTGATATCTACTGAATCCAAAATGTACCCAGCATTTTCTTCTCCAGTGTATAAAGAACATTTTGATCTTTGAATAAAAGGAAGTAGAACCAAAGATTTGCAAGTTTCATATTCAATACTACTTAGTTTCAAACTAAAATAAGTACATTCCTGAATTTCATACAGCCTTTCCTTTTTTATTATTGTAGTCTCTGTTTTGTTTAAGAAAAGCCCAGAATACAAATGAATTATATAATTGCATCAATGTGACACAACCTCTCAGCCTTTCACATACTTTGTTTTCGAGAGAGGAGGAATGGATTAGTAAATATTCGTTTCAAATTTGTGGTATATAAATATTTTTGTTTCAATTCAATTCTATTTTGTTGCATTTTCAAAAGCTTCTCTGATAAATAGAAAATAACTTCCCCCCACACCTTGGATACATATTAGTCATTTAAACACTCACTTCATAGCCATTATTGTCAAAACAACATGTGTGCTTTGGGTGTGGGTGTGTACAGGTATGTAAAAACAGTGTTACTAATAGTTCAGCTCACTGCGTGGACCTTGAATCCCCTCTATACATGGATGAAGTAATTTTTTCAATTATTTGCGGGGGAAACTCTGCCATGACCTGGTACCTCAATAGAGTCTCCGGAGACAACAGCCCTGAAGAGGGAAGACTGAGGGGAGCAATCATCAGTGTAGGAGCTGCCATATTTTCTCAATTTCCTGAGTTGCAGCTTAAAACGATCCTTTGCTGGTAGCCACAAAATCTGGCAGTGACGAGGAGTAATTCTCCCTCTCTGTCCTTTCCTCCCAAAGCCTTGATCTGCTCTTATCCTGAGGGCAACCAATGTCATGACATGTCTGCAGCCTTCATTATCACTACTGCTAATAACAGATTCCTGCCTGGAGACAGCACCATGAGTACAATTTTAAATAGTCTCTTCTAGCACAAAAGGATTTTGTAAAGCAGACTCTGTGGTTGAGGCAAATATTCACAAATGTGCCAGGGATAACTCCAGAAGTCACTTGACAACATTAAGATAAAACATTATTACTGACAACTTGCTCTTTTTTTTCTCTACTACATCTTCCATTTTAATGGGAAACCTTCAGAGGAATCCCTGTACTACCACTCTCTTTACCAAGGCATATGGTTGTTAATGCAAGTGAGAAAAGAAGTCTCACAGACACACTTGTTCTCTGAGAGACCAATGAGAGCTACCATTTAGGAATGGAAAAGCATGAGCCAAAATAAACACTCCCAAATTTAAAAAAAATAAATAAATAAGGTAGTTTTAGAAAATAAAGATATATTTTGTCAGTAGTAAAGCTGGAATTGAATATGCTGCAGTAAAAGATACAAACAGGTTTGCCCGCCCCCTGCTCTACCTGAAGGAAATCTTTAAAATGTGTCACATATACACCATGGAATACTATGCAGCCATAAAAAATGATGAGTTCATGTCCTTTGTAGGGACATGGATAAAGCTGGAAACCATCATTCTCAGCAAACTATCGCAAGGACAAAAAACCAAACACCGCATGTTCTCACTCATAGGTGGGAATTGAACAATGAGAACACATGGACACAGGAAGGGGAACATCACACACCCGGGCCTGTTGTGGGGTGGGGGGAGCGGGGAGGGATAGCATTAGGAGATATACCTAATGTAAATGACAAGTTAATGCGTGCAGCACACCAACATGGCACATGTTGTAATAAACCTGCACGTTGTGCACATGTACCCTAGAACTTAAAGTATAATAAATATATATATAAATATATATAAATAAAAAAATAAAAAAGGAAATCTTTAAAGAAGGTAAAATCTGTAGATTTACAGCTTCCTACTTATCCATAGTAGAAAATACCAAAAAAAAAATGCTTAGGAAAAAATGCACCATCCAAATGATAATCCTAACAAGGAAAACCCCTCTACTTCAGTGAAGGCTCAGGAATAAGCATGGAGCAAGAGAAGAGGTGAGTTTAGAAATAAAGGTCTCAAAAAAAGCAGAGAAGGGTAAGTGCATCACTCCAGTGGATTTTAGTAAAAGTCATCACACATTTGCTGGGAATGTGTGCTGGACAAAAGAACAATTCAAAACTGACAAAACATTCCTGATCAATTGCAATGCAGCCACTGATTTAACAGTTTTCTCAAGAAATCTGGGATGATTCATTTCCTCTTTAATGCTGCCCAGGATATTCATTAAAGGAAATGTTAGGTGTCTTTTTATTTATATTTTATAAAACTTCTCTGAAGCTCAAATCTTCACAATATGTGCTTAGTTATAGTTAATAAGAATAGTGTGTTACATGCAATCTAGATGTCAGATTCTAGTGGTATCTAATTTCTAACTCCACTTTTACACTATATTGTCCCTTGTGATAAAATACAGGAAGAAAATTCTATGTCTTTCACGTCAAGACATCTGTAGAGTGGTTCTCAATGAATGTTCATGTGCAAGAGTGAACTTTCATGATTTACTTAAGTCTTCCATCTTTTCATGATAATCTATTACTTTTTCATATGTATATATATTAGCATTGGCAACCTTTTGTCTGCAAATGAGTACTAACCAATGACAAGATGAATAAGTGATAAATAGCTACAAGAAAAATGAAAAAATCCTAAAAATAATCTATTTATTATTTCTGAGCATTATGGATATTTAATAATGTGATTTTCCAATTAAAGGCATCACTTGTTCAAATTATAGAATAAAATATGTTATTATTGCAAGACTGAAATCAAAGAAAAAAATTTATTTGATTTATTTCAAAACTATATAAAGGTAAGGTGCTTATTTACTCATTCCTTCACTGAGCAACCATTTGAAGGCCACATGAGTTGGAAGAACACAGTGCATTAATACACAATGTAAACTGACAGAATAATAGGAAGGCAATACTCAACTTTTACTAGCCATTAATTATGACAGCTACTAGCTAAACACTTTATATTTGCCTTATTGAGTTACCAGAAGAACACTATAAATCGGGTGCTATTATTTCCCTAATGTACAGCCATGTAAGCTAGGGCACGTAAGAGGTTAAACAGCTTACCCAAGGCCATACAAGTAGGAATCACAAGTGATGAGATTGGAATCAACACTATCTCCAGAACTCAGTCTCTTCATCACCATGCCTTAGCGCCTTCGTGACAGAGATCTAAAACATGCGGCTCCTTCTTAATAAATTGAGCTAAGCCACAGAAAATAGATATGGCCAAATATCTTAGTGCAGCTGTCTCCACTTTGCAGCTAGAGCATCTCTTTCAGGCACCTAATTTAAAATGTGTAATTTCTTGTGCAATGTGTCGTGTTGGTAGCCTGGGTTGTGCATAGTTATATGAGGGGTCTTGGCAGGACAAGACTGTGCGGATTCTCTGGGACTCACACATAATTCCAGTGATGGATGGTTCAAGCTGCTTTTCAGCACATCCTGTGCTCTCCTTCTCCAGATTTTCCCATAATCAATTTACCAGCTGTGGCAATTATTTCACATACTTTTTTTAATATGCAAAAGAATTGTATTCTTTTTGTGATACTCCTGTCATCTGGATTTGCTGAAATAAAAAGGGAGGGGGGAGTCTCTAATATGATGGCTGCTCTAGTTTGAGAACTCAAAGGTAATTACATACTAATAATTGGATTTAGTTTCCATTTTAATGTTTTAAAAAGAAAAGTTGTTTTGGGTGGAGGAAGCAAGACTTGGATAAGCAAAATTATAAGCAAGATCTGTAAGCAAGAGTGACATTTACTTTCTGGGATTTTTTTTGTTTAACTCATTTTAACTCAGCCTGCACAGAAGGAGTCATGGTGAAACAGAGAGAGAGTGGAAGACAGAGAGAGAGAGAGAGAGAGAGAGAGAGAGACAGAGAGACAGAGACAGAGACAGAGAGAGGCAATATAGAAACAAAAACAGAGACAGAGACAGAAAAACGTACTAGTTTTCAAAATTTATTTAAGTTCCAAAGAGCCATAAGATAGACAGATTGACGACTCCATTACATATGCATTCAGCAAATGCCTAGTGCTCATTTCAGTCAGATACCACCTCTTCCATGAAGACCTCCTGGACAATTCCTATCCATCCAGTAGTAATGATTATTCCATCATATTCATTTCCTGTATACTGTTCATACTGATCTGTAATGCTTGTTAGCTGTCTTTCACACCACACTGTGAGCTTCTTGGAGGCAGTAGATGTGCCCTATTACCTTTATATTATTTGTTTCATCTCAAGAGCCTGGGAAGTTATTACAGCTCAAAAATAAATGGATGCTTAAATAAAGGATAGAAGTCAGCATTCTCTGAATTCAGTTTTAATAAACGTCCAAAAATGTTTTCTATAAGACATTCTTGAAATTTTACTCTTGTGATGTGTTAGAGTTTCAAAAGAAGAGCAGGAGTAGGAATAATTAAAGTCAAATAATATAAGTAGCTAATATTTGTTGACCCTAATCTACCTGCCAGATATTCTGCAAAGTGCTTTGCAAGGTCTATCTCTATTTATCTTCCCAACAACCTCACATGATGATAATCTTTATTATATATACCTTACAGACCAGGAAACGAAGATGCACTCAGGTTCAGTGACTTGCCTAAGAAAGGCAATTCAGCTCAGAAGTTGTCAGAATGAATGTGTAGCACAGCAGTCATATTTAGAAGCCCAGGCTCTCAACCATTATATATCTCTTTTTCTAGAAAATAGTGGCCCTTTTGGCACCTAAATCCAGCAGAGGATATTAAAATGAAAACAAGGAAAGTTTCACTAAGCAAGAACTTATAATACACTGAAGGTATGGAAAAAGAAAACTGTGATGGAACAAACACAAGCCAGTTAAGTGTACAATTCATCAGTGTATCTCTCCATTGGCTGCTGAAAACATTTATTGTGCACCTATGTGCCAAGGTTTGTATTATCTCCAACACAAAGCCAAATGAGACATAATACAAGCCCTGGAGCATATCACAGTTTAACAGATCTTTATTCTAGAACTGCACTGTCTGATATGGTAGCCAGTAGCTACAGATGGCTATTTAATTTAAATCATCATTAACCTCACATAAATTTAAAAATTTAGTTCTTCTATCTTTCTCATCATATTTCAAATGCTTGGTAGCCACATGTAGCTAGTGGCTACCATATTGGCAGAGCACATATAGAATATTTTATTCATTAAAGTTAGTTCTATTGGGCAGTATTGCTCTAAAGAACTACATTTAAGAGCAAGGACCTTAAATTAGAAAGGCAGGAGTTCAAGCTCTAGCTATACTTCTTTGAGCAAGATACTTAACCTCTTATACCTCAGTTCCTATTTTGTTTATCTCCAAAATAAATATAATTATAATACTTACCTTCAAGGGCCTTTGCAAGGATTATTTTAGCTAGCCTGCATAAATACTTTGAACACCTGTTTAGTCCGTAGGTACACAACAATTATTGGGTTTTAAAATTATTAAGTGTCACTGATATTATCACTTACAATGTTATCTATGCCTTATAATGTACATGCTTTGGTCATCATATAAATTCTAAAAGACCAAGGTCCCCTTTCCCATTTACATATGAGAACACTTAAATCTCTGAGAAACTACCCACATAAATCAGACTCATGTGTAGGATGATGAAAGCACAAATTCATGCCAGACCCTTGTGCTCCTGCCATGTACATGACTACTCTGGGCACAGATTCTTAGTCTGAAAATTTATCTGCTATATAAGGAAAGGGAAACATATATAACAGTAAGGCTTTTTAAAAACCACCAGGAATAGATAGTATTTTAGTTATTTATAAAAAATGAGAGTTTCTTCTATTTGACTTGCTTGTAACAGTAAGTAACCATTTAAAGAGTTATGATTTTACTACCCATATTGTTCAACTGTGTTTGGCACTTAATGGGCTGGTTTCCTCTAGCACATGAATTTGAGGTTGCTCTTAGATATCTGGGATAGATCTTCCTCAAAGGCAGGCACTGGAAGGAAATAGTATAGTGTACCAGAGGATCTTTCATAGAATATTGGAGAAGTAGACACCTTGGGTGAATGACAGAGGCTCCATGAATCCACTCTTCATTGATCTCAGAACAACTCACTGAGTAAGGTGTTGGGCATCTTGAACCATCCCATAGATCGAGTACCTGAAATTTACCTATGGATGTAAATTTGTAAGTGTGGCTTAACTAAAATATTGCAAAATACATATATTATTCATTAGAATGATAATTTTGTTTGACTCATAGAAAATCAGTTAGATGTTTCTTTAATGGTGATGCTTGACCCTCTAACATGTGTAATAAATGAATATAGTGATCAATCACTGTGTGCCTGTTCCATTTCTGGCACTTTAGACTCATATTTATATGAGCAAATATAGAAGCAAAATAAAGCAAAACAAAAGCAATGACATAATAGATACCTTTGATTCTATTACTTGCTAGCTATATTCACATGAGCACAGTATTCAATCTTGCTCAATATTCTTACTGGGATAATTCCACCTATTTCTATTTTTTGAGTAAGGATTAAACTTGATGTTGTATATGAAGCACTTAATACATCATTGCACATCCTTTGTCAATCAACAGTTAGAAATTAAAATTAGGAAGAATAGTATTGTAATATGTGATTCTCACAAAAATTTTAGAAAATCGTTATTAGTATCTCTTACAATAAACCAAGAGCTTGAGGTTCACCAAGGTAAACTATCATGTTCAAGCTCAAAAATGTCAAAAAGATATCTAGTAAAACCAACCATTTATACCTAGATCTTCCAGATGCCTTCTGCTGCCTCTATTAAATATTATGAGGCAATATTAAAGTCATTTTAATGTAATGATACACTAATGATATATAAATTCTGCACAACTTCAGAAAAAGAAAGGAAGGTATATGGGAAAAAATATGCTATGTGTCGATGACCCCAAATATCATTTCTAGCCTGCATTTCTGCATAAATTCCAGACTTGTATCCAAATATGTCCATGACTCTTGGGCTTGTCCAATAATAATCTCCAAATTAATATATCTAAAACTGAACTCCTGATTTCATCATCTTCCAACCCCCTCCATCTGCTCTTGCATTGCTTGTTCTATCCCTCTACCTGGAAATTCCAACCTACCGGTTGCTCAGGCCAAAACCTTGAGTTATCCTTGACTTCTCTCTTTCTCTTACACCCAATATCCAATTACTCAGCAAATTTAACCAATGCGGTCATTACAAATATCTTGAAGCCAAGCACTCCTCACTTCCTAATTTATCTCCCTACTTCTCCCTTTTTCTTTTAATTTGTGCTCAGCACAGAAGCTAGAGTAATCCTATTTCTTTGAGACAAAAGAAAAAAAAGCCACAGTGCATAGAATAATCTACGTGGTCCTACATGATTTGAGCTCTCTGCCCTCATTAATTCTCTGGCCTCAAATCATAGGACTGACCTCTTGCTCACTCCACTCTAACTATATCGGTATTCTACTGTTCTATCAACCACCCAGGCACATTTCTACATCAGGGCTGATGTTTTGGTTTTCTTCTGCCTTGAATATCCTCTCTTCAGTTATCCAGTAAGGTGAAAGTCCCAATTTCTCCAAGTCTTTATTTATATTTTCTTACTGAGTCTTTCCCTTGTGATTTTATTTAAAATTGAAATCCCTTATACTTCTTCTTTCTCTTTTCTTTCTTATTTTTCTCCATAGTAAATATATCATCCTCTGAGATATAGGCTAGAATAAGTTAGGATAGAATAGGACATGCCATGATATGATATTCATTCTTTAGCTCTGTTTGCTAAAATTCAATCTGTAAGAAATTTCTTATCAGTTTTGTTAATTTCTTTGTCCCTAGCATCCAGACCAGTGACTGGAATATTATGCAAGTTTAGTAAGTATTTGTTGAATAAATGAGTGAATATACAAGTGAAAAAGGTGCTAAAATGGTAGAATGCTATTTCATTCTTTCTATTTTTCTGCTCTTTTATGGGAGCAATAATTGTTTCTACTTTAACTGCCATGTTGTCTTTCATGATAGATTGTATTTTTGAGTTTCTATCAGCATGCCTGTAATATTTCATTTATTTCTGTTTCCTTGTTTTGATTTTAGAAGATCTGCCTTTGGCAAGCATTGGAAGAATCTAAAAATGTCCATTGTTTGAAAACAGACATTTAATGATAAATGTAGTAATAGTTAATGGCTTACTAGTAGTCGTGGTAGCAGCAGCACAGCCACCATTCATTGAGGGTTTTTATGAGTTATGGACCAGAGCTGATCCTTTATTTATGTTTATTTATTTGACCATCAGAAAAAAAACCTATGAAGTATTCATAATTAGCAGAGATGGAAGCTGGTTCAGAGATATTAGATAATTCTCTCAAGGCCACAGAACCAGTCCTTGAAGGATTGAAATACCAATGCAAATGAGTTCTTACCTATATAATTCATAGCATCTTTATTTTAAAACATTAACGTACAATATATTGAAAATGATTTTTTATTCAATACATACTTCTTAACAAAATTGACCGTCATATGGATTGAGCATAATCAGAAGGAGTACAATTTTCTTATATATTTACTACAGCAAAGTTATTAAAATAATTCATAGCTCTCAAGTAAACTCCTTCTTTGAGCTAACAATACCTTAATCTTTGTCTGCATGTATTTTTTTTTTTCTGCTTCTAAAGGTCTTGTAGGATAAGCAAGTGACTCTTTACACAGCCTGACTTTCTTTTGGAAGAATGGTCTTGCTGCCTTGAAAAGAACTCTTAATCATTCCATTACCTTTTCTTAGATATGTTTGCTGGACTCCTTGGAGAGGCTTTGAAATCATGACACCTCGTGTAAGTACAGTGTGTTTGCCAAAAAATATTCTTTGTTGGGGGAAGCTGAGGACTTTTTTTATTTACTTATGGACACAGCATGGTTTATAGCCTCCCAGAGTGAGGATACAAAAAGGGAAAACGGCAAAAACAAAATCGAAACCAGCTAGTTGGTAAAATAACTTATGTTTGTACAAAAGGAGATGGAGAAACTTTGAGACAGGAAACTTCTTGAAAATTGATCAAGGCTGGGTCCAGTGGCTTATGCCTGCAATCCCAGCACTTTGGGAGGCCGAGGTGGGTGGATCACCTGAGGTCAGGAGCTCGAGACCAGCCCGGCCAACATAATTAAACCTCTTCTCTACTGAAAATACAAAACTTAGCCAGGTGTGGTGGCGGGCGCCTGTAATCCCAGGTACTCGGGAGGCTGAGGCAGGAGAATCACTTGAACTTGGCAGGTGGAGGTTACAGTGAGCTGAGATGGCGCCATTGCACTCCAGCCTGGGTAACAAAAGAGAAACTCCGTCTCAAAAAAATAAAAAAAATTGATCAAAATGGCTCAGAGGAAATGATGTTTATTGAGCACTTATAGTGCACTAAACCATGTGTAGGGTACCTACGTGAGATTTTACCATGTGTCTCTTCAACAAGTACTGATGAAGTTGTTATACTTAATTATTTTTTAGATGGAGGCATTGAGATTCAGAGAGTTTCAATAACTTATTCAAAATCCAATCCCTAAAAGTCTCTTCTATTTGAAAACTATGAGCCTCCAGAGTCAAGTATAGGGGAAGAAAGTCAGGAGAATGCTAAAGTTAAGGACACTGTTCTGTTTACTGGAATATAGTTAACTGTTTCCCTTTTTTCAATATTCAACGTATTTTTCTTTACCTTTATATTTCCTCTGCCCACACTAGTTTTAGGACTCTAGAGAAATGAAAAGTAATCCTGGCGAAATGCTCATTTTGATGGTCAAATACTCATTATTCAGTTAATAGTAATAAACATTCCGTGAAACCTCAGGCTATCATGAGTATCCTGTCAAAGTCCTCTAAAATGTAAGCTAAAATGAGGATGGAGTTATAGGTGCCAGATTTATCATTTCACTAGAAACAACCACAACAAACAGACAAAATATATGAAATAACATTTTTATGATCTTGCACATTTGACTGTACAAGATAGTGGTGCCTGAGAGAATTAAACCCTATAATTGCCCCCAGATTATGGTCTGGTGAGTTTTTATAGACTGCAGTGCTGGGAGGGAGAACCCAGTTAGAGCCTAGCCTCTCCTAGGGGTCTGGAAAGTGTGGTGTAAGATCTAAAATTTAGATACAATATTATATGCTTCCTGTGTATCATATGAACCCAGGGGGACCTTGAATAACCTAACCAAAAGTTTTTCTCCTAATTCTGCTCCCACTAATAAGCTCCCCTAGCCAATGAGCCCTCTTAACAAGGGAACAAGAAACAGGTGCTGCTTAGGTCTGAATAGCAGGGTTCAGTTCCCTGACGGGCCACGGGATTATTCCAACAAGCCAATCATATTCTTCCACAGGAACCAGGAGTCACCACGCCTTCTTAGTAATACAAACCCTGCCTCTCACAGCCTAAAGTTGTTCACTCTATTTCCAAGTGCAACTCCCATGTGGCCCTGTGTTACGTGAGATAGTCTCCTCCCCAGGCTGAATGTACATATGGCTAATAAACTGTTGTCCATCTGATCTGTCCTCTGTTCAATTACATGTGCTTGGCTAGCTTCATAACTGTTGGGTAGAAATTTTTCCCTCACCAGTGAGGTAAATAGGAGGCATTTAAAACAGGGAGGAGAAGATGGGAAGAGTTTGCAGGTCAACGTACTCTAGGGAAGAATTCTGTAGAGAGAAAGTTCTGGAGATCAGGAGAGCATTCCCTCAAATCTCCATTTTTTCTCATTACTGACAAACACACATATGAGAGAAACTACTTGAGGGAAGGGAAATAAACATACAACCAGAAATAAAAAACCTCACCATTCACAGGATATCAGATACAGAATTCAGAAAACTAATGCCTCAGTGGGCAAAATTAGATGTAGATTATTCTACTCTAATGTTATGTGACATACCTTAATAACAGTTGTAAAAGAATCTGTATCTTTCCATGTGGCTTATCTCTGTTTCTAAAGAAAGCTCAAGAATATTTATTGAAATATGATCATATCCAGTGCCAAAAATGTTAAAATTCACAACGTATGGCATATCATCAAAAATTGCAAGGCAAGCAAAGAAAAGGAAAATAAAACCCATAAGGAGGAGAAAAACAAATCAAAAGAAACATATTGAGATAACAGAATACTAGATGAGGACATACTACTGTTATTATTACATTTCTCTATGTCCAAGGGGAAATATTAAACATGTTAATTAGAAACACGGATGATGCAGAAAGTTCCAAATTGAACTTTTAGATGTGAAAACTACATTGTCTGAGATGACATCTGAGATTTTGATTGACAGCAGAGGAGATGCAGCAGAAGAAAAAAATTGGTGAACCTGAAGACATAGCAATGAAATCTATCCAAAGTGAAACCCAGAGAGCAAAACCACTGGGAAAGAAAAATGAACAGATCATCAATAGGCTGTATACCAACTTCAAGTGGACCAATAGATGTATAATGGGAGTTTCTGAAGGAAAATAACCAGGCATATGAAGCAACAGAAAAATATATTTGAGGAAATAATGGCTGAAACGTTTCCCAAAGTGATGAAAATTTTAACCTCACAGATTCAAGAAGCTCAACAAAGCCCAAGCACAGGAAATATGAAGAAAACAATGCCAAAGCACATCATAAACAAATTACTTAAAACCAGTAATGAAGGGAATTAATTTAAAAAACAAATGAAGAACATGACATTTTCAACAAATAAAGATAAGAAAGACAAATTTCTCATCAAAAACAATGCATGTCACAAGATAGGGGAGCAACAAGTTTACTAAAAAAAAAAAAATTAGGCCGAGTGCTGTGGCTCATGGCTGTAATCCCAGCACTTTGGGAGGCTGAGGCAGGCTGATCACTTGAGGTCAGGAATTCGAGACTAGCCTGGCCAACATGGTGAAATCCTGTGTCTACTAAAAATACAAAAATTAGCTAGGTGTGGTGGCGGGTGCCTGCAATCCCAGCTACTCAGGAAGCTGAGGCAGGAGAATTGCTTGAACCCTGGAGGAGGAGATTGCAGTGAGCCAAGATGGAGCCATTGCACTGCAGCCTGGGTGACAAGAGCGAGACTCTTTCTCAAAAACAAAAGAAAAACACACAAAATAAAACAAAAAAACACTGTTAACTGATAATTCAGTACATGGTAAAGTGAGTTTTCAAAAATGAAGAAAAATAAAGACTTTTTTAGGTATATAAAGCCACAATAATTCACCATCAGACTTGTACTACAAAAATGTTAGAAAAAAGTACTTCAGGCAGAAAAAATAATACTTAATGAAAATGTAGATCTACACAAAGCAACTTGGGGTCAGAAATTATAAATATGTGAATAATTATAAAGTACTTTTCTTTTTAATTTCTTTAAGAGTTGTGTAAAATAAAAAAAGTAATTACAATATATTATGAGGTTTACAGTATACAAGGTTAAATGTATGACAACGGTATTACAAAGGCCAGTAGTGGGGCAATGGAATTATAGCATAGTGAGGATTGGTGCTATGCATGACATCATGTAATTTCACTTAAGTTATAAGTTAGAGATAGACAATGAAAGATGATGAAGATTTTTCAATCTTCATCAGAAAAGACACAGAAACCAATCGATATGACTCCCACTCTGGGACATCTTCAATATCAAAATAATAATGATTATATTATATAACAATCTATTGAATAAATTAGAAATTCATGAGTCTATTCTGATACAATAAATGGACACAAAATAAATAATTGGGGCAGAAAATAAAGTTCTTTACGTTTCCCTTAATTTCATACTTCCCTAATGTGTGAGTCAGCCTTTTTCATCAAACATACACATGAATGGAATTCTGTAGACCCAGCCTAAATTCTACTTACTGTTATAATTTTTTCTGATAAAATAAAAGGCTCATTAAACTGTACAGACAGCATTCCTTGATTAAGGAATGAAACAAAAGTTTATTATCTATATTTTAAGTTTTTCTTGTTATTGATTCTATTACTTTAGAAACACAACTCAATTTTTTAATTGGTTATACATTTGTCATTTAAATCTTTTGGAATCTTTATGAAAAGTCTATTTTCATAATATGCCTAGTCTAGTTTCATTATCCAAGAAAAAAAGGACTATGACTTCAATAAACATGTAACTGTGTTGACTCTCTGAACTTTTAAAATGCAGCTATGTGCTCAACGTTAAAACTGAAGCTAATCTATTTTGGTTTTTGAATTCAGAAGCAATTGCTTATTTGTGAAATCACCTGATGTGCACTATCTCTTTCTCATAATTGCCAGAGATCATATTCACTGCTTCTTATCAAGAATGAAATCAAATTAACTGCTACTTTCTTACGACTAGCTACAGAAAATAGATAGAAAAGCCTTTTTAGTCTCTCCTTTTCTAAAGGAGATAGTATTATCTAATATCACATATATTGCAAAAATGGCTATTCCAGTAAAATATATCAAACAAATTGGATGATAGAGCCTTATCATATAGAGACATATATTAAACTTCAGGTTTGCATATCTTGGGATAAAGAAAAAAGCTAACTCGGGTCGCAAATGACAGTAGGAGAATTCTATATTCGTCCTTCCTTCCAACCCTTTTATTGAGTGTCAATTATGTGCCAGTTTCTCTTCTAGGTTCAAAATACAAAGTCTGTACATCCAAGTCTCCTATGTTAGCCATCATTGTCCCACTTAAGAAAAAGTCTAATATCGTTTTATCCCTTGAACTAAATACAGATTTTTTCAAAATAAATATATAAAAATCACTAAAAATATAGTCTAGATATCAAGATTAACATTTAATAAATAATAGTATTATAAAAATAATTCAAAGTGACTTTGGTAGAGGTTTTAATAAATACAGGTTTGGGGCTTTATTAAGGATAACTATTAGACATACTTTTGAAAATTATCTTCAGGTAATAAGAAAACTGAATGAGATCCTTAGGATTTGTAGCAACTGTTACTTCTTCAGAAAAATAAATTAACTGTTCCTTTTTCTTTCTGGATATATTTTAAGGTAGAATTGCAAAGGATAAAGGCATATTTTCTGAACCAAGAAGCTGGCTATTTTAAAGAGCTTAAAATTTATTACACGTAACTTCCACAAAAACAAACAAAAAAACCCCCAAAAAACCTCCTCAAGCATATGATACATAAAGGAAGAAAACAATTTGTATTTTATTTATTTTGTTTTGACCATAAGTCATTTACCAGTACCTCCCACACATGCATGTATCTACACTCTCAGTGTGTTTAAAGTTTTTTTTTTTAACTTTCATATTAGGTTCAAAAGTACATGTGCAGGTTTGTTATATAAATAAATTGCATGTCATGGGGATTTAGTGTACAGATTATTTCATTACCCACATGGTGAGCATAGTACCTGATAGATAGTTGTTCATTTAAAAAACAGGTTGAATGAATAAGGTAGTTAACTTAGTTACAATAGTTAATACAATTCCAGAATGAAAGTATTGAACTTTTCCAGATGAAGTCATCATTATCCTTCTGAAAAAACTCTCATCTTGCTCCTAAAGGTATAATCCTCTGAGCCAAAAGATGATTTGATTTATTGGGCTATTCTGTAGCAAATATGTTAACAAAATTTTGATTTGTAACTAAACATAGCCAAAAAACAACTAATCTAAAAGGCTCACGTTGGTGTCAAGAATGATTTTGAAAATGATTAAAGTTAAAAACAAGTCAGCAAATGAGCAAAAAAAAAAAAAAAAAAAGATTTAAACATCAAAATCCCTAGAAAAAAGTGCTGATATTTTACAAAGATGATAAACCAAAATTTTAAAATGTTTTTGCTCCTTATTTAGCAATACACGAAATTATTCAAGTTGTATTATAGTAGCTCCTTGGGTCTAGCAAACATTTATTTATTTATTTATTTAATAGTTACATACATTTCTAAATGCCTGGTCATTTCAAAACCTAAAGCAGTAACAAGGTCATTACAATTTTGGTACATATGCATAAACTTTGACATATGCAGAGAGTGAATCTTTACTCTAACTTTTTCAATGAGCAAACAAAGAAATGGAGAAAGAAGGAAACAGATGGGCCCAGGATGGTCAGAGCAAAACAGAAGGAAAAAGTACTGTAAACACAGATTTTGAAAGGGTAATACTTGCCTAAGAAACGTGAGACTGTGCTGTCAATATTGAGGTTGGGATCCTTTAGATCAACTATTTATAGATGTGATTATCAAGCCAGCATCCTGTGGAAATGTCAGTTTATGAGTAACAAATAATTTAGTCTAAGTTTGTATTAATATGTATATATTTAGCCAGGAGTAGGAGGCTAGGTGGGACATCTAAATGTGGGTAGTTCTTAGTTAAAGAAAAAAGTTCTCGGGAATGGCACTGAGCCTATTTAATACATGAAATGATGAGCACTTACTTGGCCACTTGGTCACTTTTCAGGTAAATCACTTTGACCTCATTGATGTTAATAACTCAATTTCTGCCCAGAGCTATTATATTTATCCCCTGAAACACCCTTTATCACAGATTTTTGTTGGAGTCATTTGGGCCTCAATTCACATATTTTCCCTCACCCTGCCCAGAGACCCCAGCATCACCCCACTCCCAGTACTTTCCAGAATGACATTGCTTCATGTAGTCAATAGTACTCATCACTGTGTAAAAATACCTCCAAAACACGACTCTTTCTATTCTGCTTAACTGCCCTCACATATACTGTAAGTTCTTGAAAGCAGAGGATTTGACTATTATATTGAAGAGATCCTTAATGGTGACAAATAAAATGTATATTCAATAATGTCAGAATTTAGGACAGGTTTTCTTACAAAGTCGTCTATTCCAAATATAACTGAAAACATTTGTTGAGATCAAATGTGTCCACATGCTTAATGGGATCCATGAGTATTTTACATTTTAACTGAACTGTGAATATAGATAAGAGACTGTATGGGGTGTGCAGCAAATTCCAAAAATGTTTATCTAGTTCTATCTCAATAAGAAAATGAGAAGAACCAGTAGCCAGCGTAGTTGAAAATGTAGTGCTCAGATCCTGAATTTATAAATTGCCTCTATTCTGGTATGGTCTTCTTTCTTTTCAGTGTGTCCAAAGTATTGTGCTTCTTTGTTGTGACCTATGATTTTTCTATTTTAATGCTTTGAAGCCCTTTCCAGTATTACTCATGCTTGATCTCACAAATTATCAAAATATTCTGTTACAGAAAAATTACTCACTGATATTTATTAAAGCACAGTAAGAAGGACTGTACTCAGGACTATCACAGTAGGCATAGGTATCATTGCAATGGGGTCTTGCAGTGAGCATTACAGATTGGGCTCAACTCTGCATACAGAACAAACAAGTGAGAATTTATAGCAAAGGAGCAGGGTGGGGTCATTGTATGGAAAATTGCTAAAAGGAAACATGAGAGGTAAACAGGATTCTGACTAAAACCTAACAGGATTCTTGCTGAAGACAGGTCAATGTGATCAGACCTCACTGGAAGGATGGCAGAGGATGAAGAACCTGATCGGCCATCAAGGATGATCGGTAGTCAAAGATGGAGGACTCCAGCAAAGCTGAATTAGTAGGGTTCTTTTGATAAAACTGAATTTTACAAGAAAGTGCACAGATGGGCCTAAAAGAAGATCCAGGAACTGACTAAAGTTTGGCCAAGCAAAGATTCTTTGTCTTTCCTTTAATTTTCAAACGTTAATCAATTGATTGCTACCCATGTTTGCTTTACCAATATTCGTTGCCACTCACTTCTATAGACTCTTTCATTCTAATCTAGTAATTTCTTTAATCCTGCTTGTACATTCGAGTAAGCAAGGGAGCTGTTAAAAATAATTTTGCCTGAGCTCCATCTCAAACATTAAATCAGGATATATAAGGGTGGGGTTTCACTGTGTCTTTTAAAAAGCTTCCTGGTCAATAATCATGTGCAGCCAAGGTTTAGACCCACTATTTAACCAGAACACCACACTCTGTACTTCCTTTTCCTCTCTCTGTTATGCTACAATGATCATAATATTTATATCCTACTCCTTTGGTGCCAGTTGCCATATCCTAGGTAAATTGTCAACCAACGAAGAGCACCCCACTGCAAAGAAACATAGATGCGGTTATATGCCCATGTATGCATATACGCATGTATGTATGTGTGTGTGCGTGCACCATTACCTTTGTCAAGGTGATTTACTTCCTGACAACTTACTAAGACATCCATACATAATGCTGTACTTTAGATAAGAGCTATCCCATTTTCTTTCAAGTGAGACATGAAAAAAAAGAACAGCTTCTTCCAAAAATATTCCCAGGACACTTTCTGTAGATAAATTCTTGAGGGAGGCATAAATGGAGATGTTTCATCATAACCGAAGTGAACTCTGCCTAACATACACCTTGAATCTTTTGCCACAATCAGGCTTTCTATATCTCAATAGAGTTTTTATGATAGGAACATTTCTTGTTATAATTTCCTGTTACTATTAGGATATAGATAGATGAAGTACCTTTAAATGTATTAATATTCTGGCCAGTTTAAAAATATATATTCAAGCTGTACTTGAAAATGTGCTAACTGTAAAAAACAAAAAACAACTTAAAATAATTTTTAAATGACACTAACAAAAAGCTATTATAATAATAGAGGTCACTTAATCGCCCACCAGTCCTAATGCCCTTCCCTGGGTAGGTCAGAGCGTGTTCTTCAAAAAATGTATTTGCACATTTACAGATATATAATTGCTGTGAATATTGTTCCTTTTTTACAGAGAGAGGGTCTGGCTCTGTTGCCCAAGCTGGACTGCAGTGGTGCCACCATAGCTCACTGTAACCTCAAACTCCTGGGCTCAAGCAATCCTCCTGTCTCAGCCACCAGAGCACGCAGGACTACAGACACACCACCGTGCCTGGTTAATTTTTTTTTTTTTAAAAGATAAGAGTCTCACTATGTTGCCCAGGCTGATCTTGAACTCCTGGCCTCAAACTACCTTCCCCAAGCATTAGGATTACAAGTGTGAGCCACACTCCCAACCTGAATTATTTTTTATCCTTTTTTTTTTTTAATTTGTCAACTTGGCTCAGCTGCTGTGCCCAGATAATGTGGTCAAAAATTATTCTGAATGTTTCTGTGAGGATGTCTTTAATGAGATTTTTTTTTTCTTTTTTTTTGAGATAGTCTTGCTCTGTTGCCCAGGCTGGAGTAGTGCAATCTCGGCCCACTGCAACCTCTGCCTCCTGGGATCAAGCGATTCTCGTGACAGGCTCCCCAGTAGGGGGGATTACAGTCGCCCACCACAACGCCTGGCCGATTTTTGTATTTGTAGTAGAGACGGGGTTTCACTATGTTGGCCAAGCTAGTCTCAAACTCCTGGCCTCAAGTGACCCTCCCTCCCTCACCTCCCAAAGTGCTGGGAATATAGGTGTAAGCCACCGTGCCCGGCCTAAATATTTTGAACATAGTTTTTTTTCTTTTGTTTTGTTTTGGTTTGGTTTTTTAACTTTTTCCCCATTTGCTACATGTGATTTCTAACACTCAGTGCCCTAATATTGAGAGGCTCCCTACCTCCGGACTCTTACAGGGCTCATTGCTGGAACAGAATTTAAACATGCCAAAAGTCCACAAGAAAAGCATAACTTGAGAGGGGACATTAAAGAAAAACAGTAAAATTTATCATCATTTTGCTTCTTTAGATGATGATTGAATGTTTATAATAAGACACGGATTGTTACGTGATCGGAGGAGTGTGTCAAATGAAAGAAAATGGAAAAATAACTTTCACAAAATTTCTTTGGAGCTAGGATTAAAGCTGCACATTGATAGTCTTATTTTGTTGTTTTATCAAGATTGCCTGAACAAGATCACACCTTGCCTTCTTTATATCCCTCTAGAGGGAAAGAGTAAAGATCAGAGCTATTAGTAGGGGCAGGAGGAGAGCAAGAAGTGATATTCCTTACGGCAGTAACACAAATAAGTGGCATTTTCTCAGTGTGTGGTCCATGAAACGCCTATATATAAATGACAGTTGATGCCTGTTTGAAACGAGTATTTCTGGGCTCTAATCCAGGAACATTGAATCAGAATATCTGGGGGTGAGCCTAGAAATTTTAAAAGAAAACTTTAAAAATCTTTATTTTGAAAGAAAACTTTTAAATCTTTATTTTGAAAGAAAACTTTTAAGATATTTTAAAAGTGCATGAGATGATTCTAAAGCATAAGAAAGTTGAAAACAGTTAAGGCATGCCTTCTATCCCTTTTATTTTATTAGAGCCCCCTCACCACCCTGGGCTCATCCACACTGGATTGGCGCTTTATAAGGCATCTTGATCAACTGGAACTGAGGCACTTGAAGAAACCAACACAAAGCAAAAGAAGTGAGATCTCTGTAAGCTGCTCATCCTATAGGTGCCAGTAAACAATAATCAATCCAATGTATATCTACTAAGGACACAGTTCAGGGGAGGTGATTCTGGAAACTCAATGAGGTGTGGAATTTCTGACCTTAAGGAGTCTACAATCTGATAGGAGACAAAAGCTACGCAGAAAAAGTTATTTGAGGAAAAAAAAAAAATCTCTCTAATTATTTGGGTAATGATCTTGACACTTACTTCAACTTTGGCTATAGAGACAGAAATTATGAATTGAGTCTTCTAAGCTCTAGTCTAAGATTTTCCCTTAGGTACCATAAATGCATGATCATAATATAGTCTAATTTTGTAGTCTGTAGTCTAAAATTTTCTATTGATCTGCTATACATGTAAACAGACTATATTCTGGACTTTCAAGCTATGTCCAGTTACAGATATCCTGTATTATTTTCTTGAGCTATTGAAAGATTTCAGAAATTCTATGACTCTGAAGCCTTTTACTGCCTTTGTATTTAGAAGTATTACAAAATATATGTTATTTTTCATTAATTCCCTCCTTCTTTCATTCTTAGACATAAATTGAGTGGAATCTCTGTGCTGGGGATGGTTAAAACGTGGTCCTTATCATGAGCTACAGCCTAAGACATAAGGCAGATATAGAAATGAATTATGTGCCCTAAATTGGGGTTTGGAAAATATATATACATATGATCTGTATATAAAATATATATTGTCCCTGTTGCTTGGCAGATAATGATGACTTTAGAATGCATAAAATAGATAAAATTTCTTCACAAAGTAGTTATATATAAGTTTAGGAGAGAAGGAACATGCATATAAAACCAGCCCAGATATTGGTAGGCAATAGATAAGGCAGGGAACCTTATTTTAGCAATGGAGAAGCAAAGGACCTGTAATGATCTTCTCAGCGAAAGCAATGTGCTCCTTAAATAGTCACTATCTGACATGCTTTTTCCATTTGATAACTACATTAACTGTGACACAGTAGGACTCAGAGCAGGAAGGAGGGAAGGAAAGAAGAGGAGCTCTCAATACAGAATGGAAATAACGGTAAAGTACGAGATTGACTTGCCCCACCAAGGAGATATGTCACTTGGAAGGAAAGCACCCATCAAAGCGTTTACAACATAGAATCCTGGGATGCCTTCATTTGTCACCGTTCTAGTAGCTGTGGCAGGAGTCTCAGATGCTAATTGCCACCATGGGTTCCTAGATGTTCACACTACACACTATGACATAATCCTAGGGGAAGACAGTGAGATTGGGGAAGACAGGTCTCTTCAGTGCTGCTATGAGAGATAGATAAGCAAACCAAAAGTGAACCTGACAACTTCCCCTTTAATTGTTTTAAATTAGGAATTCCTCCAACTTCCAAACTGTTTTCTAATTAAGTTCGATATGAATGATAGCCCATATTGTAGAAGGTTGAAAGATGAGTTTTCTCAAATAATAATGAAACATCTAGTTTTGTGGAGGAGTAATTCATGCTATTCAGATGACATCTTGCAACATTTTGTGGGGTGGTGGTGACTAGTTTCTTTTAGGTTTTAATATAAACGTAAATGCCCCTAAATAAAAGCATTCCAAACACTAAGGCTCATCTTCAATTTAATTTTAATGAGACTTTTTTTTTTCTGAGACAGAGTCTAGCTATGTCACTCAGGCTGGAGTACAATGGCACAATCTTGGCTCACTGCAAGCTCCACCTCCCAGGTTCAAGCGATTCTCCTGCCTCAGCCTCCCGAGTAGCTGGGATTACAAGCGCTCACCACCACACCCAGCTAATTTTTGTATTTTTAGTAGAGACAGGGTTTCACTGTGTTGGCCAGGCTGATCTCGAACTCCTGACCTCTTGATCCACCTGCCTTTGCCTTCCAAAGTGCTGGGATTACAAGCATGAGCCATCGCACCAATAAGACTTATTTTTATCAATTTTAAACACTGATGTGCACCCAGAAAATATTTGGAACATAGAAAATAGAGTATCCATAACATCAGTTATAATCATTGATAAAAATTAACATTTTTGGTATACTTCTTTCATGCCTTAATTTGTATGTAATTTAATCATGTTTTAATCTGTATGTAATTCTGAGCTCATGCTAGATATGTAAGTACAGTGGACCCTTGAACAACACAGGTCTGAATTGCGTGGGTCCACTTAAAAGCAGTATTTTTTCAATAAATTACACCGAGTGTGCCTGTCTCTCCTGCCTCCCCTTCCACTTCCTCCACCTCTTCCCCCTCTGACACATGTAAGACTGCAAGACCAACTCCTCCTCTTTTTCCTCTTCAGCATGAAGATGACAAGGATGAAAACCTTTATTGTGTCCACTTCCACTAAGTGAATAGTAAAACGTTTTCTCTTTCTTATGGTTTTCTTAACATTTTCTTTTCTCCAGCTTAGTTTATTGTAAGAATATAATATATAATACACATAATATACAACATGTGTTAATGGACTAATTGTAAAGCTTGCAGTCAGCATTAGACTACTAGTAGTTAAGTTTTGGGGGAATCAAAAGTTATACACAAATTTTTGACTGCATGGAGAGTCAGCACTCCTAACACTTGTATTGTTCAAGGGTCAGCTGTATATATCTTTTCATGTGATAAAAAGCAAGTACGTTCCTGTAATATTACAATAGTATGCAAAGATGAATTTAATCCTTGCATAGTATTTATTTGTATCAGCATGCCATAAGTTACGTGTCTATTCCCCTCCTTTTAATCATAGATACCATTTTCAAGTGTTCTGTATTTTGAATAAAGCTAAACAATATGTGTGTTAATGTGGATATTTTAACTTTTTGGGTTTTTTAAATTTTCTTGTTTATTTACTTTTCAGGATGTATATCCAGAAGTAAGAGTAGTAGTTAAGGATTATAAAGACATTTAAGAGTTTCAATTATTTTGTGACATTATTTTCTGATAAAGTTACCCCAATTTTTGTTTTACTGTCAGGGTAAGACTGCCCATTTTACTGTAAGCATTCTCATAATAACTGTTTTGATTTTCATATGTGCTTGGCAAGTCCTATATAAAATGCATTTCTCTATGTTAAAAATTATGGTTTTCTTACCTTATTGTTCTTAAAAATTTGAAATGTGCTTCTTGGGGGAAATTGAAGTAACTCAATAAAAAAATACACCTAAAAATTCCATTTTTTTCTGTTTGTTGTTAAGAAAAATATTCTGTCTTGAAATGAATTTGAGCTATGAATATAACATAAACTATTAACAACAATATTTTCCCAGTTAGAACGTAAATAAATGGAATGTATTTCTCTCTCCAGCTCCACTCCTCCATGTTCTGTTTCCATAAGGGGCTTTTATATTCATTTATTTTCAATCTTCTGACCTTAGTTTCCTTGATTGGAAAATAAGGTTATTGGCTACCTCTTTGCGTCTTTGTAGGATTACAAGAGATATATGTGAATTGAATCCTATAATGACTAGCATTTGGTAGGTGCTCCTCAAAATGTGCTTCTGGATTCACTGATTTTTGAAAGGTTTTTTTGTGTCTCTATTTCCTTCAGTTCTGCTCTGATCTTAGTTATTTCTTGCCTTCTGCTAGCTTTTGAATGTGTTTGCTCTTGCTTCTCTAGTTATTTTAATTGTGATGTTAGGGTGTCAATTTTAGATCTTTCCGGAGCTGGTTTTTTGAAAAGATCAACAAAATTGATAGACCACGAGCAAGACTAATAAAGAAGAAAAGAGAGAAGAATTAAATAGATGCAACAAAAAATGACAAAGGGGATATCACCACTGATCCCACAGAAATACAAACTACCATCAGAGAATACTATAAACACCTCTACGCAAATAAACTAGAAAATCTAGAAGAAATGGATAAATTCCTCGACACATACACTCTCCCAAGACTAAAAAAGGAAGAAGTTGAATCTCTGAATAGACCAATAACAGGCTCTGAAATTGAGGCAATAATTAATAGCTTACCAACCAAAAAAAGTCCAGGATTAGATGGATTCACAGCCGAATTCTACCAGAGGTACAAGGAGGAGCTCGTATCATTCCTTCTGAAACTATTCCAATGAATAGAAAAAGAGGGAATCCTCCCTAACTCATTTTTTGAGGCCAGCATCATCCTGATACCAAAGCCTGGCAGAGACACAACAAAGAAAGAGAATTTTAGACCAATATCCTTGATGAACATTGATGCAAAAATCCTCAATAAAATACTGGCAAACCGAATCCAGCAGCACATCAAAAAGCTTATCGACCATGATCAAGTGGGCTTCATCCCTGGGATGCAAGGCTGGTTCAACATATGAAAATCAATAAACGTAATCCAGCATGTAAACAGAACCAAAGACAAAAACCACATGATTATCTCCATAGATGCAGAAAAGGCCTTTGACAAAATTCAACAACCCTTCATGCTAAAAACTCTCAATAAATTAGGTATTGATGGGACGTATCTCAAAATAATAAGAGCTATCTATGACAAACCCACAGCCAATATCATACTGAATGGACAAAAACTGGAAGCATTCCCTTTGAAAACTGGCACAAGACAGGGATGCACTCTCTCACCACTCCTATTCAACATAGTGTTGGAAGTTCTGGCCAGGGCAATCAGGCAGGAGAAGGAAATCAAGGGCATTCAATTAGGAAAAGAGGAAGTCAAATGGTCCCTGTTTGCAGATGACATGATTGTATATCTAGAAAACCCCATCATTTCAGCCCAAAATCTCCTTAAGCTGATAAGCAAGTTCAGCAAAGTCTCAGGATACAAAATCAATGTGCAAAAATCACAAGCATTCTTATACATGAATAACAGACAAACAGAGAGCCAAATCATGAGTGAACTCCCATTCACAATTGCTTCAAAGAGAATAAAATACTTAGGAATCCAACTTACAAGGAATGTGAAGGACTTCTTCAAGGAGAACTACAAACCACTGCACAATGAAATAAAAGAGGATACAAACAAATGGAAGAACATTCCATGCTCATGGGTAGGAAGAATCAATATTGTGAAAATGGCCATACTGCCCAAGGTAATTTACAGATTCAATGCCATCCCCATCAAGCTACCAATGACTTTCTTCACAGAATTGGAAAAAACTACTTTAAAGTTCATATGGAACCAAAAAAGAGCCTGCATCACCAAGTCAATCCTAAGCCAAAAGAACAAAGCTGGAGGCATCATGCTACCTGACTTCAAACTATACTACAAGGCTACAGTAACCAGTAACCAAAATAGCATGGTACTGGTACCAAAACAGAGATATAGACCAATGGAACAGAACAGGGCCCTCAGAAATAATGCCGCGTATTTACACCTATCTGATCTTTGACAAACCTAAGAAAAACAAGCAATGGGGAAAGGATTCCCTATTTAATAAATGGTGCTGGGGAAACTGGCTAGCCATATGTAGAAAGCTGAAACTGGATCCCTTCCTTACACCTTATACAAAAATTAATTCAAGATGGATTAAAGACTTCAATGTTAGACCTAAAACCATAAAAACCCTAGAAGAAAACCTAGGCAATACCACTCAGGACATAGGCATGGGCAAGGACTTCATGTCTAAAACACCAAAAGCAATGGCAACAAAAGCCAAAATTGACAAATGGGATCTAATTAAACTAAAGAGCTTCTGCACAGCAAAGGAAACCACCATCAGAGTGAACAGGCAACCTACAGAATGGGAGAAAATTTTTGCAACCTACTCATCTGACAAAGGGCTAATATCCAGAATCTACAATGAACTCCAACAAATTTACAAGAAAAAAATGAACAACCCCATCAAAAAGTGGGTGAAGGACATGAACAGACACTTCTCAAAAGAAGACATTTATGCAGCCAACAGACACATGAAATAATGCTCATCATCACTGGCCATCAGAGAAATGCAAATCAAAACCACAATGAGATACCATCTCACACCAGTTAGAATGGTGATCATTAAAAAGTCAGGAAACAACAGGTGCTGGAGAGGATGTGGAGAAATAGGAACAATTTTACACTGTTGGTGGGACTGGAAACTAGTTCAACCATTGTGGAAGTCGGTGTGGCCATTCCTCAGGGACCTAGAACTAGAAATACCATTTGACCCAGCCATCCCATTACTGGGTATATACCCAAAGGATTATAAATCATGCTGCTATAAAGACACATGCACACGTATGTTTATTGTGGCACTATTCACAATAGCAAAGACCTGGAACCAACCCATATATCCAACAATGATAGACTGGATTAAGAAAATGTGGCACATATACACCATGGAATACTATGCAGCCATAAAAAATGATGAGTTCATGTCCTTTGTAGGGACATGGATGAAGCTGGAAACCATCGTTCTCAGCAAACTATCGCAAGGACAAAAAACCAAACACTGCATATTCTCACTCATAGGTGGGAATTGAACAATGAGAACACATGGACACAGGAAGGGGAACATCACACACCAGGGCCTGTTGTGGGGTGGGAGGAGGGGGGAGGAATAGCATTGGGAGATATACCTAATGCTAAATGACGAGTTAATGGGTGCAGCACACCAACATGGCACATGTATACATATGTAACAAACCTACACGTTGTGCACATGTACCCTAAAACTTGAAGTACAATAATAATTAAAAAAAAATGTGCTTCTATCACTTCATGTTTTCCTTAAGTAGTATAAATTATGTATGGCATAATCCATAACTTTTCAGTCTCAGAGTTGATGAAATGAGACCTACCTGCTGTTTTAGTATTTGAGAGAAAATGACAAAACCTAATAAAGACTCTTTTCATTTTGAAAGCTTAAAGGAATCAATTGATTCATTTTCCCCAACAATGTCCCTCTTTTTTTCCAAGGAGATTAATACAGTGAGATGCAGAAGAGAATTTCTCTTCTGATCACTGATGAAGGGAAGTCTTAGTTGTGCTTTTTAAACACATGTGGCTGACAGAGAGAATAGGGAATGACATATTAGGATCCATAGAAAAGTAACAAAATGGAATGTTTGCAGAAAATGCAGAGGGGCCTATTAAGGGAGCCTCACAAGTCAAGCCTGTGTTAGGTGTCTGTGTGACTGTTCAGCTGTCAGGATTTGTTTAGCTAATGACTCCTAATTGTTAAAATTTTTACCGTGGCTTCTTTTGCTTCATTTCTAAAGATCCATAATGTCTTTTTTTCTGTGTTGAAGAGATGATTCCACATGAGTATTTTTTTTGTCATTTAATAACATTGGGCAGTTATTCAATTCAGTTCCTCCCCTCCAGTTTAGCTAACTGTTCTTCTGGAAGATTATCTCTGTAGTTTTTTGACTTGGTGTTCTAGTCTTCCTCCTTGATAAGTTCAGCATACAGGTACTGAGGAAGTGGACTGAAAGTGGAGGGAAGGAAATGACATTTGTAATGTTGGGAAAATATCTTAAACTTATTCAAGTAGTTGATAATTTCTAGAAAAAACTTGCTAAGAAATTTAGTTATGTTATCTTATCAATGGCCATGATCATCTTAAGAGAGAGAAAGTACCCTCATATCCATTTTGCAGATGAGACAACTGAGTCTTAACAAGTTTAAGTAACTTATTTAGTGTACACAATGGATATGTTTCCAATAAACCCTGACTTCTCTTTGAAAATAATGGCTCTGAAACAGCTTGTGTAAGTCCACATGAGTGACATAAATGGATTTAATCACAAATGTATTAATTTGATTTAAAATATATTCCATAGTTCTTGATTTTTTAATGTATCTCATTGGTACTTGTCTGATAATGACTATTGCAAGTGATATAAAAATTAATAAAACTTGGTCCTTCCCTCCATATGCTCAGAGCCTATCAAGAGAGATACATTTGATATCATAAAAATGTCTAGGGTATAACGTAGATAGTGATAATGGTCACAGGATAAGAACAGCAGATAACTATGGAATGGAGTGGGAGTGGTGTGATTTGAAGAACTGAATAAGAAATGGATAGGACTTTGGCTACTCTCTAAAACACTGGGATTCGGTAAGAACATCTGTATTTTTAATTATGAAATTAATATCAGAGAATTCACCCTATAGCCATTGTAGAAGAATGATGCTCTTAATTTGGCCTATAACACATATAACTTTAATACTTTGCTCTCCATCTATTAAGAGAGTTGGATAATGTTGATAGTGATTGTTCTACAATTTACCTTAGGCTTAATATGAACAAAGTTTGCTGAGAAATTCTGGAATGAAAACAAAAATAAATTAAGATGATTCCTAATGTACTTGATATTTTTAATCACTTGGAAGAAACTTTAAAATAATTTTCCTATTACATTTCTTTCTATATAGAAACTACATATGAAAAGATGTTAATTGTATAATAACTCTAAGAAGTGCAGTTTCATGCTCTTCTAGTTGTTAGGATTTTTTCTGCCCTGATTGTACTAAGTTGGTATTGTTGAAAAGATAAAATTTGAGGAGTTGTTCAGATCTATGTTTAATCCATATTTCTTATACTTCCTTGCTTCGTGTTTAAACTTTCTGAAAGCACTTCTTTTTTTCTCCTTTTAGTATTTATAATTTTTAACACCTTTGAGCCCATTGTTATACATAATGATAATGCAAAAGGAGCTTTCTGTATTCCCTCCTCACTGTGTCAGCTGTAAACCATAAGACATGCTAGTTATAGACTAAACAAAACATACATCAGCCATGATTTGTAAATAATGAAAGTCATCATCATAATTAAAGATTGACTCAGGCATGAAGACACTGAATTTAAGTTTAATGAATAAATAAGGGACTCAGCTAATATTTAACTTTAATTTTCTGTCAAGACGACTATTGGAAGTAGCTTTTAAAACTGTGGGAGAAGAGTGAAGTTTGAACGTCTTTATCCCAGGGAAAGAAAGGTAAAAAAGTGGAGAAAAAGCAAAAATTACATATAGGCACAGAAGGATATGTTTTGAAAAAGCAGATCCCTGTAACAAAAGTATCGGTAACCTAGAAATCCACTAGTGTTGTGATATGGCAAAGGTTTAAGGAGAAAGAAAATAATCACTCGGTTTTCTCTAGGCTTTTGAGACATAATGCTATTTGCATTCTTTGATGGTCTGCTTTGCAAGAAAATCATGCAATTCTCAAAATACAAATGTGAGTTATCCCAGTTTTATTGTGTCATAAGGGCAAAAGAGAAAGAAGAGCCATGGTTTATATGGAGCACCGGCCTAGTCCCAGCATTTTCCATGTATGATTATTACGTGACGTAGATACAGTTGAGAGAATTGAGGCTCCAAGGTATTCATGAATTACTCAAAGTCACAGAGCTAATACACGAGGAATAGGGAATAGTACCTAGATAATCTGAGTCATAAGTCTATGATTTTCCATTACACCGCTTTGCCCCCCACCCCACAAGAAAGATCTGATTTGACTTCAGTTCACCGTCTTCTCTACTCAGTTCTAAAGGCCTAAGTTCTTACATCACAGAAATGAGGCATTTATTAAACAGCTAAGTAAAAAAACACTCTCACTCCTGTCTCTTGTCCGATTAACAAATGTGCCAATCAAAACAGGGTTGTTGGAGTCTTGGAAATAAAATAGCATAGAGGAGTAGGTGGGGCAGTGTCCATTCAAAGGCTCTCCTGGGGAGTGACTAAAGAACAAGTTTGCCCAGCATTAGTGTTAAATCTGCATTAAAGGGACAGAAGCACCATATTAAAGGCACTGACTTGGCTGCACATTTGGCCTAGGTAATAAACTGTTTAAGGAACATTCTGAGAAGCTGGTTTTCACCCAATCTGATTATTATGCTTTGGGGGTAAATGTGGAAAGTCACTTCTCTTGATACTTAGAACCATAGGCTTTAAATTTTTCATTTGTACATAGGTTTTGTTGAGCCCTTCTACAAAAAGCAGCATTCCTGAGAACAAACCATATTGCCTCACAAAATAAAAGGTAAAAATGGAGTTTTTGAGCCATCAATGTGGAAGGCCTGAGACTTAGCTATGGTCAAGGTAACATCCCTTTGCAAAATTTAGTCCATTACCCTTTCAAATGTAAAATATCTGTCAGATATCCCTCCCCTTCAGAGAGATGTTCTGATCTCATGTGTCTATGGCAATATCATCAAAACTATGGAGCAAATATGTTATTAGCATGTTACTTAGCAGATTATATTTACATATATTTTGTCCCCTAATCTAATACTTTGTGTTTAGCTTAGTTTAGTTTTGATCCAGATTCTGCCTCTCTACCAAGTTCTATTTAACTGCTCTGTGAAGTTGCCTCAGAAGTGGTGGAGGGTTAATGGTGGTAGAGAAATGTTTCTTTTTAATGTATAATCTCAAAATTAAAGATTAGTTTTCTCTTGAAAAAGGGAAATGCAGTTTGGAAGCCACTGGTTTGTTAAGTTGATCCACTTTACATATCAAGGAGGTGAAAATTTATTATATTAAGTATATTTTGGTTTAAATAATTTCCAGGCACAGGACCACAATCCTCTGTTTTATGTCTTTATTTTTATTTATTTTAGAGGTGGGATCTCCCTGTGTTGCCCAGGTTGGAGCACAGTAGCTATTCACAGGTGTGATCACAGCCCAATACAGCCCCAAACTCCAAGGCTTTGGGGATTCCTTTGCCTCAGCCTCTCGAGTGGCCAGGACGATACAGGTGCACACACACCACTGTGCCCAGCTTCTCTCTTCTAAATAAAATGTTTCATCTAAAATACAAGGCCTTATATGACCACTTTTAATATGCATGCAAACGTATTCAAGGGACACTTAATACAACAACTGAACCTGTTACAGTGTATTAAAAGATATGCTTTCATAGTTGTTTTTGATATAGAAATCTGCTTTGTATAATATTGTGACCAATATTTCCCGTTAAAGTATGTTATTTTGTCTTAAAATTATTATTTTACACAAAACCAGTGTACCTCCAAGGTGCACGTGTGTAAGAAATGGTGTTTAACACAACCCATGAATGATTTGAACAGTTTCAATTTGTGCTATTTTCTGAACAATTGTAAATGGCTGATGTTGTGGCTACTACTAAGTGCCTGGCTGCTTCGGGAATCTGTTTAAATGTTAGTAACTTAGTGACAAAAATTACAGTTATCTATAGTATGTAAATACAAATGCATACCCTCAGTATCACCACAATGATGCTTGAGCTTATTTTTCCAGGAATAGAAACACTGTCAGTTTTAAATTAGCTTTAATAGGAATTTATGGCTTCTTAAATAAATGGTGGTTGACAAGCAACACTTTCTGAATCAAGTATTCTAGATTAGTGTTTATAACTGGAAGCAATATCTATATATATTTTCTGTATACTAATTTCTCATTGTTACTCTTATTTAAAGAGTCAGCATTATGTCAAATTGAGAAATTAAAAAATATATTGAGTACTACTATAGGCAAGGCTCTATACTAGGCACTTGATGTCTTTTCAATCAAATTCTTCAGTATCACTGTGAAACAGGACCTATTACCTTTCTTTTGTGTTAGAGAAAATGAAGGACTGCAAAGGTGACAGTGTTGCTGCAGAATCCATGGATGTGGTGAGCGATAGAACATTTCAGAGATAACTATTATTAATTACTTATCTGTTATATGCCAGGTACTTCATCAAGGGCCTGTCATTTAATCTCTTCGACCCTGCATGAAGAGATATGCTTTTCATTAAGTGGAATTTACCTCCGTTCTTTTTTATACATAGAAAATTCATCAGGTAATTATTATCATATTATTGTATAACAATATGTTGTATTACGATAATCTGGAAGCATACATAGCAAGGGTGTGAGAGGTAAAGAAAGAACAGTTTTTACAGATATATCTTTTGAATTATTAACATGCATAGTTTTTATGGCTGGTCACCTCTGCATTTGAAAACTTCTTATGCTTGGAGTAGTACATCGTAAACAGACATTTCAGAAGGTCCCTCTAGGCACACAAGAGTACTTTTAGCGAATCAAGAGCAACTATTTTTGCATGTATCCTAAATTTCTCTAATTTAAGTGACAGAAAAATTGTCAAGGCAGATGTAAAGTCAACCATGCAATGGTTGGTGATGATGGCCTCTGTCAGAAATATGTTCCTAAATCAGAGACCGAATCCATGGGAATTCTTAATTTTTTTTTTTTTTTTTTTTTTTTTTTACTGTATTTCAGACTTCAGGCACTCAGCTAAATAAAAAACATTCCTTGTTTATCCACATGCTGTCAATTCGGTGTCCTCCATGGGTGGCTTGGGTATGGCCCCAACGACTGTTCCAGTCTTCGTAATCAGGTACCATGTTGTATTTGAATTATACTACCAGTTGTGAAAGGTCAGAACTTCATCATTTAGTAGTCAAACTTCTTTGCTCTATGTATTCAACTTTTAAAGCATGGTGAAAACTTTATGTATCTCTGTTTCTTTGTTTCCTTTCCTCAATACCGACCACTCCCCTTACCATCCACTCTTATACACATGGGACTATACACACAGGTTTGCAAACATTCTCAATTTTAATTAAATATTTTCATGTCTGAAAGACTTTTTGACTCAATCACAAGCCAGAGAATATTCTTAGTCTCTCACAAATGGAAGAAGGCGACAAGCACTTTGGAAAGATAGAGAAGTTTGCTGGATGAATGTGTTGTGCCTCAAACTAATATTTTATCAGTATCATGGCAGGTATAATGATATGTATCTTTTATAAATTGTCTTATATAATCTTCAAAAACTATTGTTGAGTCTCATATCAATATTCTTCCTTTACAATGGAGGATTTTTTTTAATAGAAGATGAATTAGTTAAGAATTAGTGTTCCTTGGGTAAGAGGAGACCTGGAATTAGAACACATTCTAGCTTATTCCAGAAGCACATCTTTCAAGTAGATGCAGTCAACTGGGAAGATGGTAGACATTTCTTTAAAAAAATAAATAAAAATAATGAAAAGACAAAGATTGTCCTTTGATTTTCCAGAGCTCAAGCACTCCTATTTGGAGTAGATAACAATGCATCTACAATTTTCAGATTCCAAAAGTAAAAGCTACTTTTTTCCCCATTTTTTCTTTTTCTTTTTTTTTTTTTTTTTTTTTGAGACGGAGTCTCGCTCTGTCGCCCAGGCTGGACTGGACTGCGGACTGCAGTGGCGCAATCTCGGCTCACTGCAAGCTCCGCTTCCCGGGTTCACGCCATTCTCCTGCCTCAGCCTCCCCAGTAGCTGGGACTACAGGCGCCCGCCACCGCGCCCGGCTAATTTTTTGTATTTTTAGTAGAGACGGGGTTTCACCTTGTTAGCCAGGATGGTCTCGATCTCCTGACCTCATGATCCACCCGCCTCGGCCTCCCAAAGTGCTGGGATTACAGGCGTGAGCCACCGCGCCCGGCCTTTCCCCATTTTTTCTTATTTTTTTTTTACCACATATTTTTGTAAGGGAAAAGAAGCTGCTAGTTTTACACTGGCACAAGCCTCCATCATTGCCTTTGTAATTGAGTCACTCTTATACTGTATGTAATTTGGAATGTGTAGTATCATGATGTCAGCTTTATATGTAGAGATTTTGAATTCACTAAGAGTTTCAATTGTGTTTGATATTCATTGTATGTTCCTCAAGATTAGCTCTCTGTTATTTGTCATCATCCCTAGTGCATCACAGAGCTGACTGACATGAATTGTGTCAAAGAGGACTCCTTACCCTCTGTAGTTCCCACTGGGTCCATCCAATGGGGGAGGTACTGGCTGGAGCTTAGAGAGTGAGAGGAGTTAGAGACATGGCATTTATATTGTTGATCCCCTCCATGCTGGATCTAGGTTTGAGAGTGTGTATGTGATTATTCAAGGCCACATTCCTTCTTTAAAGTCTATCTCCCATAATTAAAACTCTCTCAAGATTTCAATAATGTCATCTGCTTACACCTAAGACCTAGGAATGGCAATAACTTCTTGTTATTTCTAAACCAAGTTTGACTCTCCATACTTTGTTCATTTCCTTACCCTGAATGACAGTTTCCTAAGTAGTTGTTTTGTTAAACTATCTTTAATTTTCCCTTTTAAATGTATTACCTTTTTTTGTTCTGGGACCCTGATTCAATTAATATAGAAGGCATTAGATGCAGTTGAAGATAAAACTCTAAGACTGCATTACCGTCCTAATAAAATTCTAAAAGCAAAAAGATAGATGGGGTGATCAACACTAAGAAAATGCCTCTGGAAATTTATTCTACATAGTAGTGTTTCCCTCTGATCATAAATGCAATGGAGGTACATGAGATCATCACTTTCAAACTAACAGCACTTGTATTACTTGTTTTTTGTTGTTGTTGTTTTTGGTGGAGACAGGGTACCACTATGCTATCCAAACTGGAATCAAACACCTGGGCCCAAACAATCCCCCCACCTCAGTTTCCTAAGTAGCTAGGACTATAGGCACGTACCACCATACCAAGAAATATTTTTGAAAGCCTAATAAAACCTATATAGACCTTTCTATCAGATAAATACTTGTATCCCCAGTAAATTCCAGTTCACATGCTTTCTAATCTGGCACAGCGTGGTATTACATAAAAAAGTAGAGTCCAGAAAATAAAAATAATAATAGAAAAATTCCAAATACACCTCATATCTGTTAAAGAATATTAAGGGGATCACATTTATATCAGAAACATTCCATTATATACTCTCTTTTCTTTTCTTTTCTTTTCTTTTCTTTTGGGGCGGGGAGAGGATGGAGTTTCGTTCTTGTTGCCCAGGTTGGAGTGCAATGATGTGATCTCGACTCACCACAAACTCCGCCTCCTGGGTTCAAGCGATTCTCCTGCCTCAGCCTCCCGAGTAGCTGGGATTACAGGCATGTGCCACCACGCCCGGGCTAATTTTGTATTTTCAGTAGAGATTGGGTTTCTCCACGTTGGTCAGGCTGGGCCGAACTCCCGACCTCAGATGATCCGCCCACCTCGGCCTCTCAAAGTGCTGGGATTACAGGCGCGAGCCACCGTGCCCGGCCTCCATTATATACTCTTTAATTTACATTTAAATAATCTCTCAGCTCAGCATTGCCCAAGCCAGTCACTTGCTTAGGCGGGCATTCACTGTCTCTTTCCTTGAATTGCCAGCCTACACAGAACTTATCTTTTACTGTCTCTTTGCATTTCTTCCTGCTTCTCTATTCTTGCCTCTTCCTTTCTCCTGTCTACATGGTAAATTCCACATTATAAACATGACTCAAAATCATACTCAAAGGTAAAGCTCATTTAAATGGACAGAGGAAGAAGAAGATGACTGGAAAATAAACTTTTTTATTTTCCTATTCTAGTAGAAATTGTGCTGCTGTGTTAGGAGAAGGTATATGTTGAATAAGTCTTTCTATACAACTTCATTTTCAAGAAGTCTCTAGGGACAGTGAAGCTCATTCATGGAAACACTAGACACTCATAAAGTCACAGGCCTGAAGTTTAAAACCAATAGGAACAATAGGAAATTTATAACAGAAATAAAAATAAGGAGTAGGGAAGAAAAATCTATATTCACAAAGCCTAGACATAGCCAGTGAAGATACAACTATGTGTGGACTATTCACAATAACAAATATAATATTACATGTATCTGCTGATGAGTTTTTTGTATATATTTGTGTGTGTGTGATTCTCCTGCCTCAGCCCCCTCAGTAGCTGGGATTACAGGTGTGTGCCACCACGCCCAGCTAATTTTTGTATTTTTAGTAGAGACGGTGTTTCACTGTATTAGCCAGGATGGTCTCGACCTCCTGACCTTGTGATACACCCTAGTGCTTCAATTTACCGCATTACTTCTTTCTCATTATGCTTGCATTTTTCCATGTGTGTGATTTTTCTGCTAATATTACATTTTTAGCATTTCATCCCTCTATCCAAGTATAATGTTTCTTAAGAACTTCATCATTCCTTTTATCAAAGGCTATTATTGTTCCCAAATGTGTGTACTTCTCTATATTTATATGCTTGCGTGGATGCCATCTTTTTCACATACAAATTTTTAATCAAGCAAGGTACTGTTGATGTATAATTTGAAGGACTAATATAAGTTAATCTTCTAAGTTTCCTCTAAGTTGTAGAAATTTTTCAGATTATTCGTTCAATCACATATCAATATTCCCATTGATGGTGATAGTTCTCTCCCCACGATTTTAAAAAAATAAATATTTCTGTGTCTTCCAAAAAAGCTTTAACACCTACTTGTTTTGGTTGCATTGATTAGGTTTCAGCATTATGTCCAAACTTTTATTTTCACTTTCTAGTGTGTTTTTTACAGAAAAGGAATCTTTTCTCAAGTTCTTATTCAGAATACCCTTAATGTTTCTGTTCAAAATACTCTATTTTTGGTAACATTTTTGCTAATTTTTACAAAAATCATGGAGATTTTGAAAAGTTTCCATAAATTAATACAAAAATATAAAAATGTTAATGGTTCTGGGTATTTCTTTTCAGAAAGATTCAAATTCTCTCCATTTATACATGTTCTTCTTTTATTCCATGTTTAGGCCTGCAACACTTCACTCACATTCTGTTGCTCAGTTTTTGTCAGAATTACTTTTAGATAATTTATATAATTCATTGATAGTCAATATGTTTCATTACATCATAAACAAATTATTTTGAAAAAATTGAATTTTTTTAAGTTGAACTTATTTCTGATTAATTTACTGGAGTGGTACTTATTTGAAAACAACAAAATATTGCTTTAAAGAATGTTACCTGGGAGTATATTTTAGAATATCTATTACCCCAGTTTCCCAGTACATAATATAATTCCTGTACAAAACCACAATTCAAAGTAATTGAGTAGACTACTCAACAGGAAACGGTATTTCTGTCCATCTCTTTCTTTAGGTCTAGCAATGTTTCTTTTGTGAATTTGGGTGCTCCAATGTTGGCTGCATTTATATGTAGGATTCATACCTTCTCTTACCAAATTGATTCCTTTGTCATTATATATTTATTTGTCTCTTTTTACTGTTTTTTTTCATTTTTAATTTGTATTTTTTTTTGTGAGTATAAAGTAGGTGTATATATTTATGGGGTACATAAAATATTTTGATACAGACATGCAATGCGTAGTAATCACATTATGGAGAATGGGGTATTCATCTGCTCAAGAATTTATCATTTGTTATACAAACAATCCAACTATACTCTTAGTTATTTTAAAAGTGTAGACTTAAGTTATTATTGATTATAGTTTCCCTGTTGCGCTCCCATACAGTAGGTCTTATTCATTCTTTTTTTTTTTTTTTTTTTTGTACCAATTAACCATCTCTACCGCCACCTTCCTCTCACCCCTGCACTACCCTTCTTAGCTTCTGGTAACTATCCTTCTACTCTCTATGTTCATGAGTTCAATTGAATGCTCACTTTTAGTTTCTGTTTACATGGGATATCTTTTTCCACCCCTTTGTTTTCAATCTATGTATGTCTTTACAGGTAAGGTGAGTTTCTTTTAGGAAGTATATAGTGGGATCATGTTTCTTTTTTTTTTTTTCTTTTCTTTTTCCTAATTCATTCTGCCAATATGTAACTTTTAAGTGGGGGCAATTTAATCCATTTACATTTATGTTTAACATTGATTTGTGAGGCTTTGCTCCTATCATATGGTTGATTATTTTCAAGTTGCTTTATAAGTTTTTTTTTCTTTCTTTTTCTTTGTCCTTTTATCTTTCTGGTTTGATGAAGTTCTGTTGTGTTTCCATTTGATTTCTTCCTAGGAAGAAGGGTTTCTAAAAATATCAGATTATCAAAGGAAAGTTACTTATCCCCAAACAGGGAAATACCAGAATAGTATTTTTTAATCTGTCTGTTATGTTATTATTATTCATTATTATATAAAATGAATTAGAAAAGATATTATCATTTATGATGAATAACAACTGACATTATAAATTACATATTATTATTCAGTAAAATTGTCTCATTGTTTCTCCAATGCTCTATTGACTTGTTATAGTAGATTAATGCATTAACTCATATTGAAATAGTGTTATGTTCTGAAGTTTACTTTCTGTAATTAAGTAGGATTAATTTTTGACATTATTATTTTATTAAATTTTCAGATGTCTCATTTCATATTTTTACAACTCTATAATCAAAATTCTAAGGGTATTTGTATGGCTTTATTTTCATGCTGTTTACATTCATGTAATAAAATAATTTTATATATAATAATTTATTCATTTATTATTATTCTCTCTGTTCTTGATCTCATAGCCTCATTTAAAACAGACAAAAATGTCTTCCTTGCTGACAAAAGTCTGCCTGCTGTTGGGTTTCCTTCATCATCTCTGGTCAATACTCAGTCTTCTTTACAAGTATCTCTTCTTTACCTGACCTCCAAATATTAGCACATCACAGGAATCAGCCTGCCACTCTTCTCTCTATATATTCTCTCCCTAAATATAAATTTATATAATGTATATAAAATATATAATATATAATTGATAATATTATATATTAAATATAAATATATAATTATATATAAATTATATACACTTATACATTAATATATAATTATATATAACATACATAATTTACATATTAATTATATATAATTATATATTATATTAATCTGTGTATTTATGTATGTATATTTTTATTATAATACATATAATAATTTTATATATTACATATTTATTACATATGTATATTTAAATATACATATATAATAAATTTGTGAGAGAGATTTTATATCACATTGTGATAATGACTTCAGTGTTTGAATATTTCATGAATAAAACATTCTAAGCCTAGAGCCTTTTTTCAGAAATTATTTCTTAGATAATCCATTAAAATATTCTTCTTAATTTTGTTTAATTTCTCTGTTGTACATTAATTTCTAGTTTTATTCTTACCAATTGCCCTTCTTTGATACCTACTTATCTAATATAGTGTTTTCTTTGGATTCTCAGTAATGCCAGAAGTTTAATCTACAGTAATTTATGTCATATAAATGTATTATAATAGTGGCCAATTATTAAATTCAGTTAGACTTAGGTAAGAGAGTGCTATGTTTTATGTTTCAGGATTAAATAAACAACATAAATTACCTAGACTGTCAATAAGTCAAACATAATAAAAATAAAATCCACTGGTGTTAGTTATATAATCAACTATTTTGAGATGTAGTGTTGGCATGGTTATTAGAGCATAATAAAGACTTTCATTGTTTCTTTAGGGAAGAGGCTAGAATAAAATTATTCTGTGTCTAATATGAACCTGATCAGCCTGTTCGTATATTTTAATTCTCAATTTCTAAGTCACTCTAATGACTCAAAAGGGGGTATGAGTGTCTGAAAAAAGGGGGTTCAAGTAATAACACCTAGTCTTTTTTACACTGAAGACTGTTATTCTTAACCTACAAAAGCTAATATTTTATTTTCTTCACCCATCATTTATTTGTCATGACTTTCAATCCCATTTTCATTTAGGCCACCATTTTCTCCCTTTACTATAATATCTGTCAATATTGTGCTCTAAAATCTGCCAAAACTGAGGATAACTTTCATTTGCTTTTTATACTATGTTTTATCACTTATTGCCCCTAAATCTCTGTCTCAGGCAATTAAGAACAACAACTTAATGAATACCTAACATATACTGGAAACTATGTGCCATAGAAATATATTAAGGCTATTGATAGAGTATATATCTTACTGGAAAAAAAAATTAGGCCAACCAAATTTCTCAAAATTAATTTGTTCTTTATAAGGTGCTATGGCAAGCAATTTTTAGATATTGTCCACACTTTTTCTGAGCTTCCATATAAAGGTAGACGGGTTACATTTATCCAAATTATTTTGAGTCCCAGAGTTTGCATTGCTCAGGAGTGGGCTGGGTTGCTTTTGCAGCCTTTAGATAAGTTCCCAAAATGACTATATAAAACAAAAGAAAGATTATTTTGAACTCTTTATTAATTTCCTAGGGGGGAAATAATAGGCACATACTCTCAGTTTGTCAACTTTATTTTACTGTCTTTGAGATAAAAAGATAAACATATCATCTTGAAAAAAAATAACAATCTTGAAAAAGAATTGATAAAGTCTTGAAAAAGAATTGAAAAAAACAATAACAATCTTGAAAAAGAATACAAAGTTGGAGGAATACAAATTTATAATTTCAAAATTTACTACAGCACAACAGTAATCAAGAGAGTGTGGTACTGGCATAAGGCTAGACCTATAGAAAAAATGAAATAAAATTAAGATTACATAAATAAACATATATATACACATACATACATATATATATATATATATACATATATATATATATATATAAAATCAACTAATTTTATACAGTCCCTTGACAATTCATTGGGGAAAGATAGTCTTTTCAACAAATTGTGCTGGGTCAACTGCATAGCCACATGCCAAAAGTAAGTTGGACACTACATACAAAACTGACCCCAATGTATCAAAGATCTAAATGTTAGAGCATAAACAATAAAACTTTTATAAGTTAGGCATAGATCCTTATAAAACCATATTTTGCAGTGAACTCTTACATACAACACCAAGAACATAAGCAATAATTTAAAAAAGTTAAATTGGACTCCCTCAAAATTAATAAATTTCATGCATCAAAAGACACTATAAAGAAACTGAAAAGAAAAACCACAAACATGGGAAAAAATATTTGTAAATTGTAGATCTGAAAAGGGGCTTGTATCTAGAATATATGACAAACACTTAAAAGTGAGTAATAAAGAAGATATATAACTCAATGAAAAAGAGGGCAAAGGGGACAGGTGTGGTGGCTCAAACCTGTAATCCCAGTACTTGGGAAGTCAAGGTGGGTGGATTCCTTGAGCCAAAGGGTTTGAGACCAACCTGGGCAACACAGCAATACCGTATCTCTATTTCTTTTAACAATTAAAAAATATTAAGAAATAAAAAATAAACTAAAACATATTTTTTGAAAGTGTCCAAAGGATCTAAAAACATTTCTCCAAAGAAAATATTCAAATGGCTAAGAAGCACACCAAAAAAGATGCTCAATATCATTGACTATCAGGGAAATGCAAACTAAAGACACTGAAAAGCTAGGATGACTAGTATCAAAAAGTCATATAGGAACAAGTGTTCATGAGGATGTCGAGAAATCATATATTGCTACTGTGAATGTAAAATGACCCAACGACTTTCAAAAACAATCTTGCACTTCTCAAATGATTACATATAAGTTATCATATGACTTAGAAATTTTAATAAGTACATACCCATAGGAAATGAAAGCTGATGTCCACGTAAAAATTTGCACATGTGTTTATTATCTATTAATAATAACCAATTTATCAATAAGGATAAGTAATAATTTGTAACTTAATTACAAATAACTTTATTACTAATAATAAATATTACATGCTTAATGCCACATTGTTTGTAATATACAAAAGGTGGAAGTAACCAAAATGTTCATCAAGAGATCAATGGATAAACAAAATCTGGTTTAGCCATATAATCTTGTACTATTTAGCCATAAAAAGGAAAAGAATGAAGTACTGATACGGTTTGAAAATTTGTCTTCTTCAAAACTCATGTTGAAATTTAATCCCCAATGTGGTAGTATTAAAAGGTGGCATCTTTAAGAAGTGAGAGGTAGAGCCAACATGAATGGGCTAATTCATTTATGGATTAATGGGTTACCAAGAGAGTGGAACTGATAGCGTTATAAAAAGAGGAGAGACCTGAGCTAGCATGTTAGCACATTCAGGCCCCTGGCCATATGGTACCTTGCACTGCTTCAGGACTTTGCATAGAGTCCGCATCAGCAAGAAGGCTCTCACCAGATTTGGCCTCTAGACTTTGGACTTCTCAGCCTCCATATCTGTATGAAATAAATTCCTTTTTTCAATAAATTACCCAGTTTTAGGTATTCTGTTATAAAAAAAAAAAACAGAAAACAAATTAAGACAAGTCCTGATACATGCTACAATGTGGATGAATCTTGAAAACATTATACCAAGTGGAAGAAGTCATTCATAAAAGATGATATATTGTATAATTCCATTTATATGAATGTCCAGAATAGACAGATCTATACAGACAGAAAGTAGATTAGTGGTTGCTTATGACATGGGTGGATGGGGAACAAGGGGTGATAGCTAAAGGAAATGAGATTTCCAATGTGAAGTCAAAAAGATGGTAGAGTAGAAGTTACCAACCATCATCTGACAAGAAAAATCAACAACTAGACAGCTGTCCATGAATGAAAATATCTCTAGGAGGGCTGAAGAGTCCAATCAAGAACCTACAGTAAAAAAGGGAGGATGATCAGACAGAAATAGATTGCTCAGGAGATCCGCTTAGTGGAGAGATCTGGAGATGGCTATGAACAAATTAAAATGGTGGTGGTGATCTGTATCAGCCATGTGGTGGGTGCCATCACAGCTCCCAGAGACCTGCTCTGTGGATAACCCTGGCAGCCTTTGCTGCTGAGGACCTCAAAAGCATCCATGACATCATGGTTTTCCCACAGCTTTTAAAGTGGAGGATCCCATGTATTTGTCAGCTCCAACTTTAATGGCTTATTTCACAGAAGATACTAGCAGCTTTCACCAGTGAGGTAATGGACAGCCATAGCTGCCATAGACCCCTGCAGAGAGAGCTACTGTTACTCCCCTCCAAAAGAGTTGCTGTTGTGGTACACCGGGACCAGAGCTGCCACCCACAACACACACATGCCCTGAACCCCAGAGCAGATTTGGTTCTGAGTATGTCTCCATTTCAGTCCCCAGCTCCAAAGCTGCTTTGTTTATGCCCGTGCTACAGACTTGGCTCTACAACTGTTCTGTGTGTACCCTGTCTCAGAAACTGGAGCCACCACCACTACAGCCTAGTCAGTGCTCCTGACCCCAGAGCCACTGTCACTCCATGCACAACCATGCACAAAATCTCAGCTCCATGGGTACACCACAGTACATGATACTCATGTTCCCATGAATATTAAACCCAAATAGAACTTAACTAAGACATATTATAATAAAACTATTCAGAATCAAAGACAAAAAGAGACTTTTGAAAGCAGCAAGAAGAAAAATGTGTCTTATACCAGGGAATGTCTAAGGTTTTCAGCAGATTTCTAGGCAGAATACTTACAGGTCAGGGGAGTGTGGAATGACATATTTAAATGCTAAAAGAAGAAGAAAAAGAAAAACCACCAATAAAGCAAACTCTACCTGCAAAGTTGTTCTTTAGAAATAAAAGAATGATATTTTCCCAGACAAACGAAAGCTGAAGGAGTTAATCATCACTAGACCTGCTTGACAAGAAATTGTAAACAGAGTTCTTCAACCTGAAATGAAAAGTTGCTAATTAGTAACATGAAATCATATGAAAGTATAAAAATCACTGAGAGTGACCTTTTCATATGTTTCCCAACTGTATAAAAGAGAAATAAAGTATTTTCTTCAGGAAAAAAAATAACAAAGGAAACAAGATTTCATTTTGCAGTGATAAAAATATTCTAAAATTGATTCTGGTGACAGTTGCTCATATCTGTGAATATGCTAGAAAACACTGAATTATATACGCTAGGTGGATGAACTTATCATATGTGAATGGTACATCCATAAAGCTGTTTTTAAAAAGACAGAGAGAAAGAGACATTCTTCTCTATTCTGTCTAGTGACATACATTCCACAGAGCAAGCAGGTAAGTCTAAAATAAAAATTAGGATTAAATAGGAGTTATTCAATTGTTACTAAGTTTACTTTAGGGCCCTGGCCTCTTCCAAGCAGATATTCTGATCCCCCAAATTCATATGTACCACTTAGTAGTCTCAACAGTTTCCATGAGGAGAAATAATTGTTACATGTTGGTGCCTTCGGTCTTAGCCCACATTTAGAAAATTTTCTGGAAACACAAATATTAATAAGTTCCTATTTTTAAGTAATATTAACAATGCAAACAGAAATGATAAAGAGGTAGCTAAAATCTATGAACAAATGAACAATTATATCCATGTCTATTATATTTTGGAAGGATATGTGTGTCCAGGGAGGGGGCCATGGGCAAAATAATCTTATCGGTGAAGGGTATTTGATTCTCACATTGCTGTCGGACCACCTATCCTGATGTACTTGTCTGGATTCTGTATATACTATGAACATTCTCTTGGTCTAGAATAAAGTCAGACTTAGTCTCCCTTATGACTGTTTTGTCTCGGACCTCATATTGGTTTTCATTCAATCTCATAAGTGAAACTAGATTCTGTCTGCCACCATTTGCACTGATTTCCTTTTATTATTATTATTATTATTTTATTATACTTTAAGTTTTAGGGTACATGTGCACAACGTGCAGGTTTGTTACATATGTATACATGTGCCGTGTTGGTGTGCTGCACCCATTAACTCGTCTTTTAGCATTAGGTATATCTCCTAATGCTATCCCTCCCCCTTTCCCCCATCCCACGACAGGCCCCGGTGTGTGATGTTCCCCTTCCTGTGTCCATGCGTTCTCATTGTTCAATTCCCACCTATGAGTGAGAACATGCGGTGTTTGGTTTTTTGTCCTTGCAATAGTTTGCTGAGAATGATGGTTTCCAGCTTCATGCATGTCCCTACAAAGGACATGGACTCATCATTTTTTGTGGCTGCATAGTATTCCACGGTGTATATGCGCCACATTTTCTTAATCCAGTCTATCATTGTTGGACATTTGGGTTGGTTCCAAGTCTTTGCTATTGTGAATAGTGCCACAATAAACATACGTGTGCACTGATTTTCACGAGAAAATAAAAGATCAAAACCGAAGGACAAAGCTAAAAAATAAGAGAGGAATTCTCAAAAGACAAAGCACTCTACTGTGAACATAGGTTTTTAAAATCTTTGCTTGCTCTTCCAAACTCTCCAAAACTTTATCTCCTCCCTCATTCCAGATTCACTGTGCCCCTACTATCCTTGAGGCACATCAGGGGAGTCAGAGGATTATTTGAGCTCCCCCTGCAGGATAAATTGCACATCCACCCTTCAAGAGCATATGAACCTGGTTACACAAGAGGAAAAAATTTAAAAATCAGTTAATTGCAGGTACCTCATAATGCCTGTTATAATGCACCACGGTAGGTTTTTTTTGTTTTGTTTTGTTTTTTCCTGAAAAGTCTTCCTTTGAATGCTTTTGAACCTTACCTTTCAACCTCACCTGACCAGTGGATTTTATCCTATTTCTTAGGACTTGTGATAGGGCTAATAAGCAGGTATGTGGCCCAGTAAGCACAATCTGGGTCCTTCTCTAGTATTTACATGATTGGGAAAAACTGTTTTCTGTTTTTGCTGGCACTATTAAAGTGGGAGGATGGAACTCTCTAGCTGATAACAACATCTTCTCTGGCACAGAGACAGAGCTATTCTTGGAGAATGAACCTAGAAATAGACAATGATGAGAGATTGATAGAGACAAAGATCTTTGAGATGTTTGCTGTTGAGATAGAAAGATTAAGGAAAGAAGACAAGAGAAAGTGACTCTACAGTTGAGACAGGTTTATTGAGAATATACTTGAGAAGGGCTTCTGGCCAGCAGGGTCAGGATCAAACTTCTCTTATAGCCTGAGGCTTTTAAAAGGGGCCCGGTGAGGGAAGTGTGCTCTGAGAAATGTTCCTATCAGGGAGGGGTTAAGGGAGTGCTGGCTTGTTGGGACTGCTGGGGACTTCGGTAAGCTTTGTTGCAGTTAGGGTCCTTATGCTCTGTTGAAGATATAAGTGGGGCTGACATTTGCGGTTTGGTCAGGTGACAGTGGACAGTTCTGATAATTGGAAACTTGATATTTTAACGTGGTGGAATCTCATTAAGAGGGCGATATTCTTTTCCTACCATGTGCTTCACTTCAGCTCCTGGTGATCCCATTTCTTCAGCTTATTCTTTGATGCAATGAAATTTCCCAGCTTCTCCCTAGATACGGTAGCCTATAAATTTTATTATGTTTTCAACTTGGTCCAGTCGGATACTAGTTACTTGCAATCATTCTTTTTGGCATTCATTCTGCTAATGCCCTGTTAATGAATATTAATACAAATTATACAATTTTATAGTAATCTCAATAGTTTATTCTTTGTGAAATGGACCTTTCTCTAACTTGGAATGTCCATCTCTAAGTTCATTACATTCCATCCATTCTACATGGTTACTTAGAGATTTGTAAAAGCATTATCTAGACATCTAAGGAAACCCTTTTTCCAAAGCAACACGATGGCAATGGAATTTGTTGAAGACAAGTTAAGGAAGTTTAATAATAAACAGGCCAGCAAGTAAAACTTCTTCAGCACCTATAAGGCAATACCTGCTGCACTCTTCCTGGCTAGTTGCCTCCCTCATTCCTGCCATATACATTTCCATGCTTCTTTGAACCTGCCCTCAAATTCTGGAATATGCCTTTTTATCATGCATTTGTACTGGAATAAAATTTTGGTAACACTTTAATTTTTTTTTATTTGAAACCATTGATCAGTACATGTAACAGGTAAGTAATAATGTTTCCACTGACTTATCTTACATTCCCACAATCACTTTATTTCATCCTTCTCCTGAATACTAAAATATTGCAACTTGTTCTTACAATTATGTTTAATGAAAAAAAGAAAATCCACACGGTAGATGTGTCATCTTAAAATCTGTAGATCTCAGCTTTCTCATTGTACTGGATTAGGGAACTCATGAGACACAGTCCCATTTTCTTTTTTCTTACAAATTATGATCTTTAATGGAAGTGACATGTAGGTAATGTGCTTGCCTAAAGGGCAGACAATTAAAGTTGTCTGTACTCCCTCTCTTACAGAGGCTAGGAAGAATCTGATTTATGGTCAGGTCTCTGTTTTGAGATCATTTTCTCTAGAAATCCTCAGTGATGCCATAGACTACTTAAAGCTGCAGTTTATATAGTGAAATAGCATATTCTTTATATTCTTACCTACAGTTGCCTAGTCAATATATCTCACATTAGACTATAAGCTCCATGAGGGCAGGGACCATATATGATTGTCCATCAATGGATTCCTATAATGAAATGCATGTATTTTATTTATTTATAAATGAATACTATTACTAAATGCTTTGATAAGGGAAAACACGGAGACCTATAAGCAGAAGAGGAAAAGCCCTTTTATTAATACAAATAAATATAAACAAATGAATATTTATATCATTCTGCTTATATTCTGAAAAATCATGACTTTTTCACATTTACATGACATCACATCAATTGCAAAAAGAATCTGGGTCTACAAGCGGAGCATATACAATATTAATTTTTTTCTAATTAATTTTTCACAAATGTTCTGTAATGGGAGCATTAGGGAATGAGTACTATTTCATTTTTGCCACAAGTGTTCAAAGGAAATCTACGATTCAAATATTCTTTCAGAACTCTGAATGAAATCCAAATGTTTTCTTTGAGGGTGGGATAAGTAGAAATGCAGACCCAGTAAAAATACAAAGCAAAGAAAAGAATTCTTTTTGGCACTTGGTTGTAGAGGCTCAAATGCATGGACATTAAGAAATGAGAAGGGCTTTAGGAGTGAATTCACAGCAGACAGATTGCTTCTTATGTCTTTCAATTCATTCATGTGTGAAACAATATCATATCATAAAATGAACCATTAGGAAGTCAAAGAATGGAGCATACGGGGAATAAATTTCTGAACCAGATAAAAAAAATGTATGTGTTTGTGCACGAGTGTATGTGCATTCATACAATGTGTGGAATATAGAAACCTATCTGTTCTAGTTGCTATATATGGCTCACATGTTTAGAACCACAGAAAGTTCTGAGGAAGTTATTTCTGCTGCTCTAGGATGACATCATTCAGAGAACCTGTTTTAGGATCACCATTGAAAAACTCATCCCTTAATCTCACATTTAGCCTGAACAATAGAATCTTATGAGTACATATTCGCCTGTGTTTGTTTTTCAAACTCTCCGGCATTTAAAAATTGTTGAAGCCAAAGGCAGCTTACAAACACAATTTGGTGAACTGTCAATTTTGGTAAAGAAAAGCAATTTAGTAATTCAGTGTCACTGTGACCAAGCTATACTGCAAGACCCTAACCTAGCACTGACCCATCTACTCACCTCATGGAGCTTTATACATTACAGCCAATTGTTTAAGACAATTATCCTAGACCCTCTAGCTTCACCCATTTCTTGGGACACAGTCTCTGTATTTCTCCATCTCTGGACTTATTTCTTGTCTTCTGTTCTTATAGCAAATATTGTCTCATATCTAGCTTCCATTTTGTTTTCATATTCAGCATATTTTCATGTTATGTGGCTTGAACCACAGCACCATTAATACTAGTCTTGTGAACTCATAAATATCTCTTTAGCCTTCTAAAACTCAATTTTTCCATCTGTAAAATTGGTATTGTGCAAGTCAAATAACCTCTGTCCTCCAGATCCAGTATAAACACCTACAAAATCTTAGCTGGTAAATGAATGGTAGTTTGCCCTCCCTCTCTAAGAGCTTCATAGAGTGCTATAACAACACTATCTTCACAAAACCCTGTTTTTCTTATCAATCACCAATGCTTATCCCCAGATTCTCCCATGTCTCATATGGGATGGGGTGGGGCTTAGGAAAGCGACAAAAAGCAAGGACAGGCCTAGGACATGGGCTCGAAGTTCTATTAAAGAAATAACTAGGCCAGATGCAGTGGCTCAAGCCTGGAATCCTAGCACTTTGGGAGGCCAAGACGGGTGATCGGTGCCTGAGCTCAGGAGTTCGAGACGAGCTTGGGCAACGTGGTGAAACCGCATCTCTACTAAAAATACAAAAAATGAGCCTGGCATGGTGGCATGTGCCTGTAATCTCAGCTACTCTGGAGGCTGAGGCAGCAGAATCGCTTGAATCCAGGAGGCGGAGGTTGCAGTGAGCTGAGTTTGCGTCATGGCACTCCAGCCTGAGAGACAGAATGATACTCTGTCTCAAAAAAAAAAAAAAAAGAAAAAGAAAAAGAAAAAGAAGAAAGCATAGAACAGAAAAAAGAAGTAAATAACCAATGAGTGAATCTAGAGTATGTAGAAAGAAAGGAAATAATAAAGATAAAATTGAATTAAATAGAAAACAAACATTGGAGACAATCAACTAAACTAAATTTTTTTTTTCAAAAGACTAAGAAATAGAAAATCTTCTGCAAAAATAATTTACAAAAGAGAAAAAGAGCAAAGTTTAACATTAGGAATAAAAAGGGACCCTAAATGAGGGGAGGAATTTTGTTAATTTCTAAAAACTACTTTTTGCCAAAAATTTTAAAGACATACAGTTTTTGTAGAAATATTTTATTCACTTTTATGATTACTCACTCTAAAATAAAAAGAAAGTCTGAATATATCTGTAACTATTAAAGGAAAACAATAGACAGAAGGAAATAATTCTCATTTAAAAAACAGAAAAGGAATGCTCAACCTTAATTGTTTGATAGACCAAAAAAACACTAGCAAAATGAGCTAAAATCTTCACTACTTTATTTCATCTAGACTTCTATTATTGGCTACACCTGAAAACCCAGATATAGAAATGCAGGCATTAGTCATAGTGAATTATTTTGAGAATTGATTTGCATACACAAAAAAAACTGCTCAGCTTAATTCATTTACATTAAGTAGTTGACACTCTCTCTTGTCATGAGAGCCAAGCTTATTCATCCAAAAACAACAAAAATCACTACTTCGTATATGCTAGAATAAGTTGAGTGAATTGTTTTATCTCAACTGTCAGAAAATTAAATTGAAATAAATAAGAGAAGAGAAAGGAAAAGAATACAGTAACCTCCAAAAGAGGAGAATAAATATTAGTATAAAATAAATACACACTAAAGTAAGAACACGGAGGAAGAGTGTGAGAGGCAGTAAATGGAGATGGATTTAAAAGAAATGTTTCCAGGAGTTTTGTTTGATTACCTCAAAAGTAAAGTGGGAATCTATAAGTCAGAGGAAAAAAGAGTTTTGGGGAAAGCATTCTGGACAGACAATTGGCACATCCTGAAGATAAAAAGCATAAAGAAGCGTGGTGTTTGAGGAGTGAGTGAAACATACTTACCCGCGGATGTTGCTTCAGATAGCTCCTTAATAATCACAACTCTAGCAAAGCTGAGTGAAGAGATATAGGTGAAGAGAGACAGAGAAATTAATTCAAATGACCCCAAGTTCAGGTGAGTAAGAAAGCAAGCTGCCTCAGTCTCCTGGAGATGGGAGATGTTAATAGGGTCACACAGAATGTTAAATCTGGAAGGATTCTTAGGGATCTCATTTCCCCTGCTTCATTTTACAGAGGAGGCATCTGAGACCCACCTATGCCCAAGGTTATATGTAAAATTAGTGACAGAGCAATGGCAGGAATATTGATTTTCTTTGTAGATGCAGGGCCTTGCTCCTCTGGAGAGAAGATGACGGTGTGCTATCATCTTTGCTGAGAATCATTCTAAATTTCTTCTATACTCATCTGAAGTATTATCTGTGTTCACTCTTCCTGATACAGCCGGATACCTTCACTGAAGCTGTTGATTAATTACCAAGAATCATCAAACTCGGCAGTGACATTCCCCAGGCAAAGGCTGTCTTCCTGCCTGAAATGCCAATCTGGGTGAAGGTCTGGGACACTCCATGTTTTCTGACATTTTTGGCTGCATGGCCCCTCTGCCTGGGGCTGCTTCAGTGGGAAGAGGGTTGACTTTAACAAACAAAATGCTGCTTCCCACCAGCAGGCCTGCTGCTGCTGTTGTTTCTAATTCTCTAAAGGCGGGATCCTCCATATGTTCACCTACCCCTACCCTAGCACAATGCTGAATGAGTGAACAAGCAAGTGGGAGGGGCTGAGACCAGTGGAATTTCAAAAGAGGGCTGGCATTAAGCCTAGTCAGGCAATAAGAAAAGGCAAATGCTGTATCATAAAGGAATAAAAATTCTGGGCCCAAATGCTGATAACTGGGTTTCCGGTTCTACTGTGCACCAGATAACGCCAAAGTAGTAGTCCCCCACAAAGAAAAACAAAACATCTTTGGAATCAAATCTGAATATAATTTTATGATTTTCAAACTCATGCAGTTTAAAATGAATAACATTACCATGCAATTATGACAAGTGTAAAATAACATGCATTTAAGCCTTGTATTTATGATCACATTATACTCTGCCCCCTAATAATGTTTACAATTTGGAAATACGTATGCCGTATCTTTAAAATATTTATATCCTTTTTTATAGAATTATAAAATAACATTATGGATCTGGACCCACAAGAACAAAAAGAGAACAAAGATCTATGTATAATGTAAGTCATGAAAACATGTTTCTCTTATCTCCTGCTGCAGATATGAAGACACTCGCTGCTACCCTTCTGGATTTTCCACAAAGTTTGCATCAAGCTAAGCTTCGGGGGGGTTTCTCTGAGTCAGTCATGGAGCATGATGGGGTTACTTGGGGGTTATCTAGTGAGATGAAGAGCTCCTTCAATAGATGATCTTAGCTTGAGGACTACCCAGTGATCTGCTGAAACTTTCTTGGAACTGTGCTGAAGTCTGAGTCTTCCTAACATCATTACACCACTACCTTCTGTCTCTCCTTCAGTGGAAGCCAGACCTGCATTTTATTCCAAAGAGTCTCCCCACCTTTCCTTTCCCTAGTATCTCTTCCTTGTATGTCTAATTCTATCTTCTTGTCTGCTTTTTGGGAACTCAAACGTGTAAGACTATTTATCCTATTAGTCACTATAAAAAATATGAGTTACCTAAATATGCAATTGCATAATGAGATTTTTAATGATTATTATAGTAAAACCAACAGATATCACATTTTTAAGATGTAAAAATCATATTTGAGCTTAAATGTCAAAATATATTTAAGAGACTACATCTTTGTTAAGATAATAACCTTAATTAAACTAAAAATCAAACAATGGGTAAAGATGGTAAAATTTTATAATACATAGGATTAGAAATGACAGGAAAGCCTGACCCTTTCTTCCACAATCCTTTCAATAAAAAGTTTTTGCTACTAAAACTAGTTTAGTTCCTATATTAAAGGGTTACTTTTACCTTGAATTCCTCCTTGCAACTTAGAGATTGATGTCTACTTTCTTTCTTAGCCTCTAAACTCCATAAGGGGAACACTATATCATGTCTTTAGGATAAGTCTAATAAATTATCATGAATTAGAAGGTCCTTTCTACTTTCCCCAGATCTTCACGTTATGCCCCTGATGTTTTGTGAGGCAAATATGGACAACTTTAAGTTAAAAGTGAGGAGAAAAAAAAATGTTTAGAGACAGAAGTAAATTGAACAGATGAAGAAACTAAAAACCTGGAATATAAATAATGAATTTATCCTATCTGTTTAACACTATGTTTTTATTGAAAGTCATTTGATAGGTATCAGCCTAGATACTTGATTGTATGAATTGCTTAAGCATGTGTTCATTTATTGCATATTATGGGTCAGTGATCAGCGTATGCATTGAGTAAAGAGAGGCAAACGACAGCTGTTTGCAGGCTTAAAAGTATTCCAATGTATGTAGCAGAGTAAAGAAGTAATACAAAAGTATGGTAAACTATCAGTGTTACTATGCGAGAAATAGGTTTCAGGAGCACTCAGAAACTATCTCATTTAATACAATTGCAGCCATCTTATGTGGTCAAAACTGTGAAGGATAAATTAAATTCTTGCTAATCTTTATTTCTGAAACAATACCTAGCATTGTGTGGCACACACTCCAGGGGCTTAATAAAAGTCACTTTTACTTCTGTTCCCACATTCCAGCATATGGCCATAACAATGTATCATTGACTATGAGAATAATTTTTTAACATTCTCCACATTTCCACATTTTCACTGAGCACTTTTTTCCCAAATTAGTTTACTAATAAATATTCACTGCAGAAGGTTTCCACCTGGCCTTATCTTCTAGAATTTGTCCAATTTGGGGGTCTAGGCATTGAGGGTAGGAAACACTGGGAATCAATTCCTTCTTTATAGTCACGCCACTCACTTGCTTTTCAGCTTTTCATTGATTCACCGTTGTCTTAAGCATGAACTTCAAACATCTTAGCATGGAGTACAAGATACTCATTGATGTGACTTCTTCCAGTTTCTCCTTTCATATACCCCTCTATTTCTCCACTCTATTAGTGTCCATAAGTTTCAGATAAACCCAATTCATTGTGATACCAACTGCTAATGCTCTAGTCCTCTTCTTTCTCTTCTCCTGCTTCTCACAGTGTGGTTTTACAATACGCTATACTTCGCTGGGAGTACCTTTACACCTCCTCTCATAATTTCAGCATAGGTATTTTCACTAGTTCTCCAAAAGTCAGCTTAAGTTCTCCTTCTCAACAAGTGCTCCTTCACCCTTCCCATGCCCAATGTCTCTAAGGTTGACGTCCTATTAGAACGCTCTGCACTCCTCTACCTTCTCACTTACTACAGAATGTTGGTATTAGTTTAAATCTCCTTCATAAGTCTGGGAGCCACATGAGTGCAGGAGCCTTCTCATTTGTTATTATACTTTAAGTACATGAGTAGAGTTACTTAAATATGTCTTGGATAAATGTTGAATTAAATGGATGTCTCCACAAATTCAATATAAAAGCTATTGATCATAGTAGAGAACAAGTAGTAAATTATCTATTACTTTTTCTGTTTTTTAAAGAAAATAATTTGTTAACAAAGACATTTCCTTCCTTAGAGCTTCTAGTGCTCATAAAAAAATTAAAATATTTGAATGACTACTCCTGTTAATAATGTCTATGTCAGAATTTTTATTGCAAAAGTGCTAAAAATAAAAATTTAAAAATTCCAGCAGTATTTTTCAAAGTGAGTTGTATAAAACATATTTATTGCTTATTTTTGTCCCAAAATAACTAAGATATATATATATATATATATATATATATATATATATATATATATATATATACTGTGTGTGTGTTTGTGTGTGTGTGTGTGTGCATGTGTGTGTGTGTGTGTATTATATGCCTAAGAAGTTGAGGAAATGTGATGAATATCTTTGAATAGATTTTAGTTTGTCAAAAATTGCTGGAAGTCCCAAAATAATATGCATTGTGAATTACTAAAATGGGTAATTTTTTTTTTTTTTGAGACTGAGTCACACTCTATCACCTAGGCTGGAGTACAGTGGTGTGATCTTGGCTCATTGCAACCTCTGTCTCCCCAGCTCAAGCAATCCTCTCATCTAAGCCTCCCAAGTAGCTGGAACTGCAGGCACACTTTTTTTTATTTTTTATATAATATTTTTATTTTTTTTTGTAGTGACAGGGTTTCGCCATGTTGCCCAGGTTAGTCTTGAACTCCTGGGTTCAAGCAATCCGCTCACCTTGGCCTTCCAAAGTACTGGGATTGCAGGCATGAGCCACCATACCCAGCTAAAAATGAGATTTAATATACATTGATAAGGGGTCCTTTTTTCTTAAAACATTCAGCCAATAATATAATTAAAAACAAGGCATTTCCAGAATTAGCATTCCATGGGAAACACTTCAGAAAATGTTTAAAGTAACATTTCATAAATGCCAACATTGTTTTTAAGCGTTACATACGTGTTATATTTATGGTAATAAAATTTATTTTGCCATATACAGATGTGAATTTATGCATCAACTTAATAGACACATCCTTATTCTCATTACATTTATCCCCTTCCTTAGGATCCAGCAAAAATCCTTACAGCTAATAAGAGTTAAGTAAATACTTACTTTTCTGGGTTTACCCAACTTTAATTCCTAACCATGACTAATTTGTTGTAAAATCAGAATTTAAAAAAATACTAAAATAATCCAGGAGACACAACATTCTTAAGAAATGTACTATTCCTTCCCTCTGTTCATGTAGTTTCTAATAGACCTGACATAGTTTCTCATATACCTGAATTTAAAGTATCTGGCGTTTCTCATAGATAAGTAAAGGTGGAAGATTGCCAAGCCATGGGGAGCTGACAGTCTTCTCCTGGCATTGCAGCTACTGCACAGTAATCTCACAAAGTTCTGTGATTTAAATAAATACATCAGAATATACTCATGGTAATAGGCCATAAAATACTTGTCTCACAAATTAGAATTGTGAATGGTAATCCATGAAAAGCAAGAACGTGCTTGGTACTATTAACCAAATCACCATTCTATAAATGCTGATTGCATATTGGCTTTTAATGCATATTCATTCTGACTTCTTTTCTGCATGTATCTATCATTTGTATTATTTATATAACTGAAGTGAGACACACTCTCATAAGCACAAATTAACATTGACCTTTTTACTCAGATCTCTGAAACTTTAACCCATTTAAAATTTTAATATCTAAAAATAAATTTAACAAAATCAAAATGCTCTTATTAAAAGGATTTAATTATTTCATCAATATGGTATTTATTTGGCCCAGTAACCATTAAGAGATAATAGATATTTCTTTTGCTAATATAGCATGAATATAATGAATGAATGACATTTAGAAAGTAATTAACAACATTTCCACAGTTAATATCTTTTTCCATATCATAAGGATCATGTCTCTTGATCTGCCCTCATGATGTGTGACATTCTTATTTTATAACATATGTATCATTGCTTTTCAACAGTCTTCCATTATCTCACTTTTACAGTTCAAATTATTCATATCACAAATGCAGAGACATGAGACAGGGTTGTAGAAATGCCTATTCATGGTAGTCTACCATGAAGGTCATAACTCAGTTTCATTATATCTTTATTTAAGAACCAGGCATGATTTTTATATCCATGAATCAGATTAATTTATCCATCATGCTTGGTATTTATTTTAAAACAAATAATATCACCATTAAAAAAACTAGTCACTTTCTAATTTCATATCTAATTTCACATGTTGCTGTCTTGCTCCTTTTTAATAATTTACAAGAATTCTATTATCCTCTAATAACAGAACCTTTAATTTTCCATGTTTGATAAAATCATTTGATATTAACTATTTTGGGCCAAAGCTGTTTTAATTGCCTTCTGTCCTTTAAATAATTTATTTTAATTGAATTTTTGTCATAGCTGAAAGAGAAACTGCACATTGCATTATACCCTCCTATAATCCATAAACAGTTTGGGCAAAGGTCTACTCATGGAAGCTCACTTCAATTGCTAGATTTTTTCTATATTACATGTATGCTGGAGTTGTATTTCTTTATTCCTTTATTTTATTCATTGAAAAACTATTTGTGACTACTAAAATGAAATTGGTGTTAAGTGCTTGGTACACTGTAATGAACAAAGTAAATTAGCTCCTTACTCTCATGGGGCTTATACTTGAAAAGCATAATTAAAACTTGAATATATTCCCTGGAAAAAAAAATAGAGACACCAACAGAAAACAAGAGGAGTCTGTTTAAAATTAAAGCGGCTGGGGACAACCTGTCCAAGATGATAACATGCAAGAGAAAACAGCTCATGAAAGAGCCTGGAGGTAAAAAGAGTGTGATTATCTTCATAGTGTGTGAAGATGACAAGTGTGGTGAAGGAGCCCAGTGTGTTCTGAGCCAGTAAGGGAAGAAGACGGTGGCAGGAAATTCAGTTGAAGAATGAACAGGGGCCAGAACTGAAAGAGTCTTGTAGGTGTCTGTCACTGTTTGTTCAGATAAAACTTAAAATAATTTCCTTAGGAGCTTAAGTTTTCCCTCTTTATGTTCTGTTCTTTGCTAATGAAACAAATATTACTCTTGGAGCAAGTGTTGTCTGAATGCATTGCACCAGGCAGTCCACCAATGTGAATGCTGTGATTTGGTGATAAGCATGCTACCTTACAATGTGTTGATAATCTTTGGTGACATTTGAAGATCTGGCCTTTGTTTTAACCCAGGCTATGTCAGGTTGTGGCATTAATAGTGCTGTTGACACTGAAAAAGCAAAGTGTTTTCATAACATTTGCCTGGAAACAAAGTGCTTGTTAGTATAATGTTAGTATTTAAGAGTTCTATACTTTGGTGTCTATGTATGCATGCATATAAACATACATAAAATTATTATGTAGGAAATAGGCAAGTCAACATAAAGCAGTTTATATGAGGATATATTAAGATTATTTTTGTGATCATATCTAACCCAGTCCTAAACTTACATGAGCTACTCAATAAAATATTAGTTTATTTCCCTCATCTTTTATGTGCTATGCACTGGAATTGGCACTTTATTTGTATCTTACATAAGGCAGTAAATTTTTTGTTTTCCCCTTTATCTACAAAAGAATGAATTTATTAAATTATTATGAAGGCTCTTGAGTAGCATCATTTTATAAATAGTGGATTTCTACAACAGCCTTGTAAAACAGCCAATTTTGCCCTCATACAATCTCTTGACTATCATCCAAGGCAATGGTTCTCAATCTTGGCTGCTCATGAAAATCTCCCAGAGAGCTCCTAAAAATCCTTATAAGCAGGCCTCTCCTGAGATCAATCAAATCATAGTCTTAGGGGCAGGGACCGTGGTGTGTCTATTTTAAAAGTTTCCTAGGTGATTTAAATGGGAAGTCAAGGTTGAGAGCACTGTCCTGAGTACCATATGTAGTGAGATCAAGATCACCTTACAAAAATGCATGCACTCACCTTTCAAAAATGTGTTTTCCTTTGAAATCCTACTCTGCTTTCAAGTCCAAAAAGAATTGTCAGCTCTGTTATGAATTCTTTCTGTTTGAAATAGCCTTTGTTCTTTAATAAACTAGCTTTTGTGTATATTTCTATAATAGCACTTACAGTGTCCTATAATGAAAGAGAAACTGAAATGTTGGATTTTTTTTAGAAGGTAAGTTCCTAGAAGGCCAGGATAATTTCTAGAACCTTTATACCAGTCAGAATAGTGACTTTCCATACGATATAATTTGATTATTTTTTAATCAAAATTAAAATGAATATCTGCATAATTATAATTTAAAAATGTTCCTTTTTATAATAATTTTATAATTATTATAATTTAATAATGTTTCTTTAATAATGTTAATAAATAGAGGAAGACATCAAAGTCTACTTTATATGCATATTAATAATGCTACCTATATATCTAGATATAGATCAATGTATATCCATATAGATATATATATAAAGATATAAATATAGGTATATATACAATCAGTTCAACAAATACATGGTTTTACATTATATTGGAATTTTAAATTGATTTTAATACAAAAACATTTTGAATAACTTCATAATATTTTCTCAAAATAGTAGTGATAGAACTTTGTCTGTTAAATGTAATTGATGCTCAATAATATTTGAGGATAATTTTTTTCATGGCATCAGTATATCTTTTAAAATATTTCTTTGAATATCTGACTCTGGAAATTATAACATACTCATTGTTTCTCAATAATTATCAGAGAAGGGGAAAAGGGCAGTGACTTAACTGTACAGATTTATTTTTTTAAAGCACTGATTGGAAGAATGAGATAGTTTTTGAAAAAAAAAAGCAATGTGATTGAATTGGGAGATATGGATCCTAGTTTGAAATCTGACATACACTTACTGGTTGTTTTCTCTTTCTGCATCTCAATTTCCTCCTCTGTATTTGTACTTTTTATAAGATATAACTGAAGCAAACAACCTTCTCTATCACTTTCATGAATGAGAAAAAAGTTGACTAATTTTTGATTCTATGTAACTGTAGTTGGATAATGACAGATTCAAGTCAATGATCAAACCTCCCCTCCCTAGATGTTTTATCCTTGATGATTCAGGAAAGAGACTGAGAAGTTCTTGTATGTCAATGATGACTTTGCCTTTAAATTTTTATCAGGTAGGAAAGATCCAAAGACGGTAAAAGGGAAGTGCTTATTTAAAAAAAAAAAAAATGTCCTACACACCACTGCACTCAACCTAGGCACCAGAGTAAGACCTTGTTTCAAAAGAAATGTAAACAAATTAAAATAAAGAAAAAAAAATAGCCTCAAAAATTCCATCTACCATGTCACAAGTGTGAAAACATCTATATTCTGGAGATATAAACATTGCTAAGCTTAAGAAGAGAAGAAAAAGGGAAGAAAACATGAACCTATATTTGTCGATCTCAGTGATAATTTTTTAGTTAATATTTTACATGCCTATTGGATATTGAAATTTCACTGGGGCAACTGAAGGACTAAATATTTAATATTATTTAATTTTAGTTTATTCATTTTTATTTGTTTTTTTCAACTTTTATTTTAGGTTCAGGTGGTACATGTGAAAGTTTGTTACATGGGCAAGCTGCATGCTGCTGAGATTAGGTGTATGTTTGAATGATCCATCCAGGTAGTGAACACATTACCCAAAAAGTAGTTTTTCAACCCTTGCTCTCCACCCCTCCTCCCCCACAGTAGTCCGCAGTGCCCAGTGTCTTGTTTCCATCTTTATCTCCATGCATACTCCAGGTTCAGCTCCCAGTTGTGAGAATAAGGGAGAATATATAGAGCAATTGGTTTTCTGTTTCTGTTTCTGTTTCTGTTAACTTAGGAAATGGCCTCCAGCTGCATCCATGTTGCTGCAAAGGACATGAATTTGTCCTTTTTTATGTACCACATTTTCTTTATCCTGTCCACTGTTGATGGGCATCTAGAATGATTCCATATTTTTGCTGTCATAAAGAGTGTTCTGATGAATATACGAGTGCCTGTGTCTTTTTGGTAGAATGATTTATTTTCATTTGGATATATACCCAGTAATGGGATTGCTGGGTTAAATAGTAGTTCTGTTTTAAGTTCTATGAGAAATCTCCAAACTGCTTTCCACAGTGGCTGAACTAATTTATACTCTCACCAACAATGCGGAAGCATTCCCTTTTCTCCAAAATCTCACCAACATCTATTATTTTTTGTCTTTTTTTAATAATAGCCATTCTGACAGGCATGAGATGGTATCTCAAAAACACTGCTGAAAGAAATCATTAATAATGCAAACAAATGAAAAAACATCCCATGCTCATGGAACAGAGAGTCAATATTGTTAAAATGGCCATACTGCCCAAAGCAATGTACAGATTCAACACTACTTTTATCAAATTACAACATCATTTTTCACAGAATTAGAAAAAAACACCTTTTTAAGAAAAAAAATGTGTAATTTCTCCTTACTGTGTCTATTTACAAGTACTAAATCTGAACAACAGTATAATAGGAAATAGTAATATATATATACACATCTGAGGGCTAAGCCCATGGCCAGCTATGTTGCTTCTATGAGAACCCTCAGCTGAGGACATCAGCTCAAACCATCCAAGTAATTGCTGTTCTTTTAGGTGGGGGTTCTGCAGCACTAAAGGACAGCTCACTGTGGGCTTTGTCTTAAAAAATATTTTTCTCTCTCTGAATATTTCTATTCTAACTAATCTAAAATTCATATGGAACCGAAAAAAAAAAAGAGGGTGATTTGCCAAAGCAATTCTAAACAAAAAGAACAAAGCTGGAGGTATCACATTATCCTACTTCAAACTATACTACAAGGCTAAAGTAACCAAAACAGTATGGTGTTGGTACAAAAGAAGAGACATAGACCAAAGGAATAAGATAAAGAACCCAGGAATAAAGCCACCTACTGACAACTATCTGATCTTAAAGTCAACAATAACAATAAAGGACTCCCTTTCTCCTTTATTCCCTTATTCCCTATGCAATAAATGGTTCTGGGATAACTAGCTAGCCATGTGCAGAAGAATTTAAATGGACTTCTACTTTTAACCATAAACAAAAATCAACTGAAGATGGATTAAAGACTTAAGTCTATGACCTAATACTATAAAAATTCTAGAGGAACACCTAGGAAATACCATTCGGGACATTGGCCTTAGCAAATAATTTATGGCTGAGGCCCCAAAAGCAATTGCAATAAAAACAAAAATTGACAAGAGGTACCTAATTAAACTAAAGAGCTTCTATACAGCAAAAGAAACTATCAAAAGAGTAAAGAGACATCCTACAGAATGGTAGAAAATACATGCAAACTATGCATCTGACAAAGATCTAATATCTAGAATCTGTAAGGAACTTAAATAATTTAACAAGCAAAAAACAAATAACTCCATTAAAATATTGGCAAAGGACATGAACAGACACTTCTCAAAAGAACACATACAAGTGACCAATAAATGTATGAAAAAATGCTAGACGTTACTAATCATTAGAGAAATGCAAATTAATTAACTTCAATTTTCATAGTTACATGTGACTAGTGCTGCCACATTGAAGAGTGCAGGTTTCAACTATATTCTGAACATCAGCTCCTTTGAAGACAGAGAGGTCACCACATAGAGAACATTTGTTTTATGCATGGGGCACCTGTAGAGATCCTTTTTGTTTTGAAGGCCCAAATGTATAGTCTTGTACTTTCTTCAAATTAGTTTTAGGTTAATCCTCTGAAACCACATAGAGAAAGTCAAATCCTTCTTTGGTGTCACAGCCATCTAAATAAGTTTCTTAATCTAGTATTTTATTCTCCAGTCCAAAGAGTCTCCTTTTCATCAAGCATTTCTCTAGTTTTATGCTAGACTCTAATCTAGTAGTATTATGGGCTGCATTGTGTCTGCCTTCTCAAATTCATATGTTGATACCTGAATCCTCAATGTGACTGTATTTGGAGAGAGGGTCTTGAAAGAGGTAATCAAGGTTAAATGAGATTATAAATGTGGGGCCATAATCCAACTGTACTGGTATCCTTAAGGAGGAAGAGAGACACCAGACATCACATGAACAGATTTCGTGATGACACAGTGAGAAGGCAGCCATCTGCCAGCCAAGGAGAGAGGCTTCAGAAGAAGCCAAATCTGCCAGCACCTTGATCTTGGACATCCAGCCTTCAGAACTGTGAGAAATAAATTTATGTTACTTAAGCCATCAAGCATGTTTTTTTTTTTTCTTATGGCAGCCAGGCATAGTACCACAAGTAGACTCTCGCTTCTTTAGTCAGACAGATGTGGACTGGAAACTCAGCTAATCCATTTGCTTATAATACGTTCTTGGAAAATTTAACTCCACCTTTTTCTTCTATAAAATACATATAGTAATGATATATTAAATACCTCATGTTTTATCTACAAGGAGTAATAAATATAAGTTGCAGGTAAACAGTATGTAGCAGGTAGTGAAACTTTACTTCCCTACCACTTATAATATCTTCTAGTTTGCTCTCATTGACCTATATCCCTCTCAAAGTTTGATATACAGATCTAGAGGCAGTTTTTCACGTATCGTTTTATATGAATTTGACCATAGGCACAAATGATAATTTTATAAATAGTTGACCTGATACACTGATATTATTTTAGGAAAAGTATCTAACTGTTCTTTCCCTTCAGTAAAAGGGAGAAAGGGAATTGCTTTGGTAACAAGTTTGATGTTTCTAAACTTTCACTGCAAATAGGCATTGCAGGATTTATTAAAGTCATCTTGTCTCCAGGTTCCTGAGATACTTGCTGTTCCTGACTGCAATAATTTGTTATCTACAGGATTCCCATTCTTACTGTGGGGGAAAAAAGCAGTTTTATATCAATACACCACAGACAGCTTATTCACTTGCCCCCCAGAAATTGTTCATTACTTTTAAGAGGAAAGAATGGCTGAAAAATGTGTCGGTTTCCACAGATGGTCATTTGGAAACTACAAACTGCTCCACCTGGACGTCAAACTACACTTCAAAAAGAAAACAGTGGAATTCTTTTGAAGTGAAGGACAAGCCCATATTTTGAGCCACATTTGTGATTGTACTGCTGTTTAAATGTGTTAAATAAAGGGCATACACATATATATTTAACATAATTTTAGAGAATTCAGGCAAATTAAATGGTAATGAACTATTTTAAACTATTTTTAAAGATAGTTACTGATAAACAATAATAAAATTGAACTTGATCTTCATCATAAGTAATTTATAAGTTATATATTCAATTTGTAAGTCAGTTTACCATCCTGGAAGCTTGCCTTATTTTGAACTTAATTTAATTTTCGTAAAGTATAAATGATGGATGACATCAGTGACCTGCAAGTATTTTAATACAAAGTAATTGTTTCACAAAACACTTTCTCTCATTGAGCATGCATGCGGTAAAACATTGCCTACCAAATAATATTTATATATACTAATAATTTATTCATTTTTCATGTTTTCTTTAAAGGCATATATAATACTAATTTTAGCTTTTTGTTCATAAGAAAAATCAGACTAACCACATTTAACTAATACACTTATTTAGTTTTCATCTTTTATTTATTCAACAATACCTAAGAGCACAATGTAATGGGGATACAACAGTGAAGTGAGCAAACATGAAAATTTTTCCCATTAATTAAATAGTCTACTGAAAAGATAAAGACTGTTGATAAGTAATAACAACAACGACAGCAAAACCAAGGTACGTCTGAGAAACTGTCACAGCCAAGAAGAACCTAAAGGAGGAATGACGATTAGATGTAATATATCTTAAATGGCATCTGGGACAGAAAAAGGGCATCAGATTAAAACTAAGGAAACCTGAATTAAGTATGAATGCTCATTGCGACAAACCTATCTAACTAATATAAAATTATAATAGGGTAGACTGGGTGTGAGACAACTCTGTATTATGCTCAAAACTTTTCTGAAGATCTAAAAGTGTTCTGAGATAAAAAGATTATTTGTAAAATGTAGTTAGAAGGATTAGTGAGAGAGCAATATGGCAGCAATAGCATTGGCCTTAATATGTTCAAATCTCCTAATACAGAAAGCAACTAGGAGAACTAGCCCCCACACTCCCCCAAAAAATAAAATAAATAAGTAAAAGCCAACATCTTAAAACAACAAAAACAAAAATAATAAAAACTAGGGGAGAAAGTATTCTTGCAAAAGACAGATAAAAACAGGTGAGGCCAACCACCAAGAGTAACAAGAGGCATGTGGGTTAAGACTGCCATGCGGGAGCAAGCTGAGGTATGACAAAGGAAACTTCTGATCATCCTAAAAGCTGTGGAATAGAAAAATGGTTAACAAGCACTCATTATCTAAAGAAGAGCTCCCTACTGACAGTGGCGGCCACAACTGGGTTTCTGAGTACTACAGTAAATTTTGAGAGTGGGCTTCAGATGTTCCAGTACATGGGTAAGTTCAAAGGGCTCTAGGGCTCTCTTTTATATTGTTACATAAGGTGTAAGGATCGTGTGGGAAGGTCTGATTGCCTGGAATGGCTTGAATTCTCAGGGATATATAGAATAACCAGCAAAAATCAGAGGCTCGTAATGAGGAGAAACTACTGGAAATAGAACAAAGGTATGGACTTCAGGGGAAAAGGAGAAAGATGGTTCAAATACAAGGGGAAGTGAGGACCGGAAGAGACAGATAACAAAATGTGCTAGATGGAAAGGCATTCTTTTTCATTCTTTTGTGTATTCAAGTATGGGGATCCCTATCACCATCAGACTAATAAACCTATTCTGTCACATTCTTTTTTTTTTTTTTTTTTGAGACAGAGTCTCTCTCTGTCGCCCAGGTTGGAGTGCAGTGGCGCGATCTCGTCTCACTGCAAGCTCCGCCTCCCGGGTTCACGCCATTCTCCTGCCTCAATCTCCGGAGTAGCTGGGACTACAGGAGCCCGCCACTACACCTGGCTAATTTTTTTTTTGTATTTTTTAGTAGAGACAGGGTTTCACCGTGTTAGCCAGGATGGGCTCGATCTCCTGACCTCGTGATCCGCCCGCCTCGGCCTCCCAAAGTGCTGGGATTACAGGCGTGAGCCACCGCGCCCAGCCTATTCTTACCATCACATTCTTTCCATCCTAGGAAGGAGCCACCTCCCAAGAAGTAAATCTATGTGACTTTTAACAGCTTTATTTAGGTACAATTTGTCTGCAACAAACTGCATATGTATATAGTTGTATACATATGTATACATAAAACCATCACCACAGATAAGATAATGAATGTATCCAATAACATCCAAACTCACCATACTCATTTATAATCCCTCCTTCCCATGCACTCTTCCTGGTACCCAAGCACTGACTGATCTACATCTGTCACTATGTTATTTAGTATTTCCTGGAATTACATATGTAAATGAAATAATATGCACTCCTTGTCTGGTTCTTTCTCACCGCTGTGATTCCAAGATGCCTACAATAGCTTGTACCTTTTCATTGTTATTGATGAATATTTAAGTTCTTTCTAAGTTTTGGATCTTGCAAATAAGGCTGCTGTGAGCATTTATGTGCAAATATCTTTATGGATTTATGCTTTTATATCTGTTTGTTCAGTATCTAGAAGTGCAAACTGCTCCCCAAAAAGGTCTATTGTTTATTATTTCCACCAGCAGTATCTGAGAGTTCTGATTCTTCTAAATCCTCAGCAACTCTTGGAATGTTCAGAAATTTTAATTTTAGCCAATTTAGACATATATTGTACTATCTCTTTGAGGTTGAAATTTACATGTTCCTAAGGATTGATGGTGCTGAGTTTCTTTCCACATGCTTATTTGCTATTTGTATATCTTCTTCGGTAAGGGGTACACTTTTGCACATTTTTTAATTGGGTTGCTTGTTTGTTGAGTTTTGAGTCTTTTATACATTCTGGATCCAATCCCTTTATGGTATTCGCAATTTTTTTTCTTAATTTTGTGCCTTACTTGCTTAGTTTCATAACAGGATCTTTCAAAAAGCAGACATTTCAAGTGCAATTTATCATTTTGTTTCTTTTATGAATTGTGCTTTTGTGTCATATCTTTAAATAGCTTTGCCTAACTAGAAGTCATGAAGATTTATTCCATGTTTTTCTCTAGAAATTTTTATAGTTATAGGCTTTATATTTAAGTCTATGATTGATTTTGAGTTAATTTTTTCTACAATACAATAAAAGGAAGTTCTTTATTTTTGACATATATATATGTGTGTGTGTATATATATATTTATGGATATATACATATATATATACCAATCTCCCAAGTGTTTTTGCACCATTTGTTGAAAGGACATTTTTCTCCGCTCACTTATTTTTGCAGCTTTGTTGAAGATTATTCCACTAAATGTATCTGGTCTGTATCTCGGCCCTAGTATGTACCATTTATCTCTCTGCCTATTGACACCAATATTACATTTTTCTTAATTATTGTAACTTTGTAATATGTATTGAACTAAGACAGTGTAAGCCTCACTAATTGGTTGTTCTTATTCAATTTTGTCTTCAGTAATCTAGGTTCTTTGCAATTCTATATGGAGTTTTGGACCAGCTTGTCATTTTCTAAAACCAAATAATGCTCTGTTGGCATTTTGATTGAGATCGTGTTGAATCTATAATTAATTTAGGGAGAATTATTAAATTATCAATTTGAGTCTTCTGATCCAGGAAAATGAGAATACTTCTCCATTAATTTACTTGTTGTTTCTCTCAAAAATATTGTGTAGGTTTCAGTGTACTGGAATCGCATATAGTGTGTCAGATTTATCCCTGAATATTTATTTAATATATCTGACATAAAGAGAATTTTTTGTTTTCAATTTCTGGTATTTCTATATCAGTATCTGGAAACATAATTGGATTTTATTTACATTATATACTACAATGTTGCTAAATTCACTTGTTACCCCTAACATTTTTTTTTTTTTTTGTAGATTCCTTATGATTTTCTTACAATGTAAATCATATTGACTACAAATAAAGTTGTTTTTTACTTTCAATATGACAACTTTGATTTCCTTTTTACATCTATTACACTGACTAGAGAATCTGAGTACAATGTTGAATTCAAGCAACGAAAGTGTTTAATATTGCTTTGGAACAAAGCATTCAATTTTCACTATTAAAGTATGTTACTGGCAGATATTTTCGAGGATGTGCTTTATCTGGTTGAGAAGATTCCTTATTATTTCTAGTTTATTTAGATGTTTTGTCAGGAATTGATGTAAGATTTTGTCAAATGTGTTTTCTGCATCAATTGAGATGAAACAAATTCCCATTTTGTCTCCTTTGTTGGCTTATTGGGCTTACTAGCTATATCTCCTTTTGGTATACATATATGTGTGTGTGTGCATATATATAAAACATACATGTATAAACATATATATACAACATATATATACATATATATAAAACATATATATATACACATATATACATATATATATAAGTTATCAGGGTCTATCTTTTATTAAAAGTATATCACTTCGTATATAGTATAGGGACCTTAAAGGAGTGTATCCATTTATTCCTTTCACCAAGTTTTGTACTATCGTACCTGTGAGGTCAGCATATATTATAAATATCTGAAGATATTGTTACTAATTTTGCTTTAAAGACCCAATTATCCCTTTCAAAGATTTAAATAAGAAACTACTTTAGCATTTACCCATGTGGTAATCATTTCCAATGTTCTCTTATTTGTGTATATTCAGATTTCCATGTATTTTGTCCTTCTACTTAAATTTCTTCTTGCACTGCAAAACTACTGGTGATAATTATTTTAATTTTTAAAGGTCTACAATGTTTTACTTTATCTTTATTTTTGAAAATATTGTTTCTAGCCATAGAATTTTAGGTTGCCGTGTGTGTGTGTGTGTGTGTGTGTGTGTGTCCTCCTTCAGCACATTGCTCCATTTAAAAATTTTTTTTTTTATTCACATTGTTTCCTGGCAAAAAAAAATTCTTTTTTTTTTTTTGAGGCAGGGTCTCACTCTGTTGCCCAGGCTGGAGTGCATTGGCATGATGTGAGTTCACTGCAACATCCACCTCCCAGGCTCAGCTGATTCTCCCACCTCAGCTTTCTGAGTGGCTGGGACCACAGACATGCACCACCAACCCCAGCTAATTTCTGTATCTTTTGTAGAGATTGGTTTTCACCATGTGGCCTAGGTTGGTCTTGAACACCTGGGCTCAAGCAATCCACTTGCCTTGACCTCCCAAAGTGCTGGGATTACAGGCCACCATGCCCAGCCTATTCTGTTATTCCTATCTTTGTTCTTCTCTATGTATTGTATCTTTTCCTCTCTGCTTCTTTTAAGGTTTTCTTTTTACACTGGTTTTAAGCAATGTGTTTGACATTTGTGTTGGTGTAGCATTCTTCATGGTTCATTAAGCTTCTTTAATCTGTGGCTTTATGGTTTAAATAAAATGCGAAAATTTTTCTCCAATTATTTCTGCAACATTATTTATGTTCTTCCCTTTATTTTCTTTAGGAATTCTAATTGCACATATAATAAGCCACTTGAGGTTGTTCTACAGCTCACTGATGCTCTGTTCTTTTTTTGTGATTATTATTCTGTTCTTTGTCATTTTAGATCATTTCCATTGCTATGTCTTCAATTTACTAATCTTGTAAATGACAGGCATTGGAGGTTTTGCTCAGAGTTCTCTAATAACATCATGCAAGCTTTTTGTGTGTTTGTTTTCTTCAGAGAAGCCTTTGGAGGCTTTTGTGGGCATGCTGGGAGAGGTGGTAAAAGGACACTCTACTGGTTTCCTAGAGGTCCTGTTAAAAAGCTCCACAAACTGGGTAGCTTAAATTACAATAAAAATTATTATTTCACAATTCTAGAGACTAGAAGTCTAAAATCAACGTATTGGCAGGCTTAGGTTTTTTTCTCCAGGACTCAGGACTCTGTCCTTTTTTTGTTTGTTTGTTTTGTTTTGTTTTCTTTCGTGAGACAGAGTCTCACTCTGTCACCCAGGCTGGAGTGAAGTGGCGTGATCTCGGCTCACTGCAACCTCTGCCTCCCGGGTTCAAGAGATTCCCATGCCTCAGCCTCCCAAGTAACTGGGATTACAGGCTCACGCCACCACACAGACTAATTTTTGTATTTTGTGGTAGAGATATGGTTTCATCATCTTGGCCAGGCTGGCCTCAAACTCCTGATTTCAGGTGATCCACCTGCCTTGGCCTCCCAAAGTGCTGGGATTACAGGCATGAGCCACCGCGCCTGGCATCAGGACTCTGTTCTGTTGCTCTCTCCTAACTTCTGGTGATGGCCAGCAATCCTTGGCATTTCTTGGATTATAAATGCATCACTCTAATACACTCTAATCTCTGCCTCTATCTTCACATGGTATTCGCCCCATGTCTCTGCGTCTTCACAAATTCTTTTAAGGGCACCAGACATATTGGAATAGGGGAGTACGCTACTGCAGCATGACCTCAACTAAATACATCTGCCTCACTTTATTTACAAATAAGATCACATTCTGAGCTAGCAGGAATTTTGACTTCAACGTATCTCTTTTAGGAGAAACAATTCAATCTCTAACAGATGCAATCCTATCTGAATGTGAGAGGTATTCCCTCAAAGGTTCACAGGGTCAAACTGGAGGACAATGCCTTAAAAGGTGATTAATCTTTACAAATTGCAGGGTGAAAATAAATAAGTCCTTGGCTTCAAGAAAAGGTTATTTTTGAACAGCAGTTCTTTAATGCAGCACTTATATTTTATTAATAATTAATAAATGATTAATGCAGATTGCTTTCTTCCAAATAAATTATCAGAATGTGTTATAACAGATGTGAATAAATCATGGGCTCTAGTTCATGAGTTGTCTGCACAAATGTCAAGAGTATAACATATTATATTTAAATATTAGTTGTGTGTCTGAAATATGAGCTAGGACTCAATTGTAATATATTAAGCACTATTTCTATCAATGAGTTATTAATTATTGAAACTCAATGTATTCTGAAATAACTTTCTGGATGTTTTATTGTTTAAATCATGTATTGATGCTGATTTAATTTCTCTTTTCCTTTTAGGGGTATATAATTAGATTGGAAAAAAATCATCTATAACAATTACAGGTAGTCCAGAACATTAACAATACAGTAAAAAAAGTTATACTACATTGTTCCTCCCTATTAAGAAATGGAATTGTTTGTTAAAAGAATTTTAAATTATTCTTTTCACAAAAGTAACGTTTATGTAAGAATAAACTAGCAGAATCATCATCACCTAATCATCACCACCATCGTCACTGACACCATTTATTGAGTGCTGACTTTGTGTTTGACGTTGAGAATAATGCTCTAAAAAAATCATTCCAAACTCAAAACAATCTTAAGAATTAACTATTATTTTACTTATGCATGAGAAAACTGAGATTTGAAGATGTTAGAAAAATTCCAGCACACAGTTAACAGGTAAGAGCTAGTATTCAAACTCAAAAAGTCTAACTCTAGAGACAGTGCTAGTAATTTTTTATATCCCAAGAGGATGTGGGCTTCAGGACAATGAAACTTGGAAAGGTTATGCTATTTGAAAATGATAATTCATTGAAACACTTGGGATTTGATGTCCCTCACTTATAATTTGAAAGTATTAAAGATAATAACTAATGTGTATAGTGCATTCAATAATCCACTTCTTAATGCTTTACATATATTCCTCATTTAAACCTCAAAATAACAGAAGGTGGTAAATTTCATACTCCTCTTTTACAGATGACAAAACTGAGACACAGTAATATTAAGTAACTTTTCCAAAGCTATACATTAATAATTGTACAAAAATGTGAAACTAAATTCTGTCTGCAAAGCCTCTGCTCATAACAACCATATTATTCTATGTATTTATGTGGGTATGTACATATGCCTACATGTACATATGTATTTAAATAGAAGATTCCCACTATCAACTATGAGCATCTGTGACTCTCTGTTTTATATTTGTCATTTTATTTTTATGTCTGGGTCTTTTCTCCATTGCCCAAGAGCATTTTAAGGTGAGGTGTACTCCAAACTCCCATTAGAAGAAATATTTTTGTCAATTGGGAAGTACTGAACAAGCATTGGAAATTGTCCACTTTCCAAAATCCAAATTAGCCCAATGGGGACTAAGAAGTCCCAAGTACATGATGGTGAGCAAAGCAAGAATAAAATATGACTAGTCCAGGTTCTCCGTGATTATTTCAAAAATACTCTTTCATTCTTATCTCCCATCATGCTCTACATGATTGCCAGATCCCAGTTTGGTCCAAACTCCTGAATGCCAAATGCGTACTTCTTCTCTTACCCTTGTGTCTTGAATGCCTTGGCCTATAAGTACCAAATGCCAGTATTAATATCAAAGTGAGTAAACTGGGGACCTGAAAATTTAAGAAGAATTGAGTGATGACATAAAACACGTGTTACGTGTTGATTATCTTCGGTTGTATGTTTTGGTCTGAAAATGATATTTCAGCTGTGTATTTCAAACTGCCTGTCCTAATGTTATTTCATCATAGGTTTAAGTAACAACTATTATGTGGCTGAGAGTAGAGCTGTGCAAAAAACCCATTTCATCTTCTTCCTAAATCTATAGCTAACCCACATTTACCAGCTACTCTGGTGATCATGTGACTAGCTCGTGTAATATTCTGTTCCTGTAGTGAGTAGAATTGATGCTCACTGCAACTGGGAATGGTTCACAGAAAGCTTCATGAATCCTTGATGTCCTTTATTCCTTTCCTGAGAAGGATAAAAGATAATACAATGGTCTCGTGGAAAGTGGCCAAGCCACAAGAAACAAGGGGCCTAGATTCCTCAACTTACCACTTGGAGTTGAGTTGCCTGTTGATCTTTATTTCAGGTGAGCAAAAATAGACTTCTCATATGTTTGAACAGATATATCCTTCTGAGGCATTTGTTGCTGTAGCCAGTGTTATCTTAAATAATGCATAAATTAAAATAAATAAGTAGTCAAAAGTTGTCATTATTAAAACACATACTCAGGGGAAGCAGGCATTCTCTCCACTTTCCAGATAGCTAAACTTCTGGGTGTACAATTTTTCGCTAACCTCTCCAGCTTCATCCCATTTCAATCTTTCCTCAAATCCACTAAATTCCAAGAGAACACTAAAAATATATGTCTAATTTGTTCATCTTTATCTTGTGTTTCCTAGGCCCAGAGTGTTGTTTTCTGGCATCTTTTAATGGCTAGCTCCTTTTTTAGCTTTCAAGTGTTATTACAAATATGGAGATTGCACTACCTAGTACTGCAAGACTATCCGGCAAAAGTTGGTGGTATGGCATTATGGTTACATGCTTCAGCTCCAGAGCTAGGTTGTCCAATCTGGAAGCCACCAGCTAAATGTGGCATTTTCTCAGTTACAGTAACCACATTCATGTACTCATTAGTTACATAGTTACATGGGTTTTGTAACTGCCATATGGGACAGTACAGATTAAAAACATTTCCATAGTCACAGATAGTTGTACTAAACAGTGCTGCACTAAAGGTAGACTTGGAACTATAAACAATTGACTTTGACTCTTGGTACCTCTATTTCCTACAACATCTCAAATAGTTTGAAAATTAAATGGGACATTATATGCAAAATACATAAAATAGTGCTTAGTGGACAACACTCAAAAACGTGAATTACTTTTTTTATCTCTAAGCACATGTTGCAGGTTTCTGTAAGGTTCTTCTAACAGCTTCAGTCTTAAGCAATGTTTACTAAGCTATATTGTTTAACACACTATGTCCTCTATTCTCCTAATTTTATTTTGCCATAAAATAAAAATAAATTTTATTTTGCCATAAAATAAAAATAAATTTTATTTTATCCTTCTCTTTGAATCTAATACTTGGCTTAACTTCTGGCCACCATTTTTACTTTCATTTGAAAAAAAATAATTAGAACCCCACCACCACCCTGGTTAAACTGTCCCAATGATGTTTTTTAAGTTAAATTGTTAATTTCCAGTTCCAAAGACAAAGATTTTTGCAGATTCTGGTTCTCTAAAGGAATTCACCCTTGAACAAAGAAGAAAGGCTCTTACTTACAAGTAAATAAAATGCATAAGCGAGTGCTGCCTTTCCACCACCCCTAGAATTCAATGAGAAGTAAGCCATGGGGATTATCCCAGAGAGGAGTAAGAATGACAGGATTTGCCACTCCATTCAGGGTGTAAAGAGGAGAAAGAAAGATTTGCTCACCGTTTCAGAAAAACTCAGCCTGTTTTGTCATGTTGGACAAATATCCCAACTCTACATAAAATTCCAACAGACATAATTGCAATCATGTGACCCAGAATTTAATTCTAGTTATTCAGGTTGCACTAGAGAAATACTGTGAAGAACCAGCATCTTCTAGTCTACCTGGATATAGTCATGGTTGTTATAGAAACAGTATGGGGCCGAACTGTCTGCCCCATACACAAGCAGCCAAGCAATTCTTTAATTATAAAACTAAAAGCCAGATTCTTTGTTATATTTTAGTATGCTATTTGCATCTATATTCCATGTATCCCTTAGCAATGTTGTATTATTGACCTAAAAAAGAGTGTCTTCTTCACAACATGGATGGTACTGGACACCTTTACAAATATCACATCCCTGCCTAACTGGTCAGTCCCCTAGACACCATGCAAGCTATTACTACTAATAATAAACAAAATCTGTGACGACTTCTACCATTTATTGAGTGCGCTACATGTTAAGTACATCACTTGGCATTTTAAAAAGACAAAATAATAAAAGTATCTTCAAGTGGAGGGAATAAAAAGTAATGTATTTGAAAAGAATTAAAAATAATACTAGAAAGGTTAAAAAATTCACAGAAAGATTTTGCCCCCTATAAGAATAGCAACTGATGTTTAGGTCCAACACTATCAACTCCAAGTCTGTGTTTTAGAGAAGTGGCTAAGGACAAAGATCTCCCAATCAATACAGAGGGGAATGATCAGGTACATTAGAGAAAATCCCTTAGGATAGGGTATAGATTTTCAACCCTGGAGTGCTGCATGATTGCCTGAGTGCTCCTTAAAGACTTTGTAATTCTAAATCTTTTGGATTGGAGTCCTGGAATATATATTTTAACCAGCTAGCCAGTTAATTAGGCCATCTTTTCTTTAAGAGACCATGCCTTAGAGAGAGGTATAGTTTCCTTCCTTTGAGCCAAATGTGCTTCATGAAAGTCAAATTCCAGATGATGAGCTGGCCTACTAAGAGCAGTCAACGTTAATTTTCTGACCAAAAATCTTAAAAATGAAAAAGGGAGAGGAAAGCAGAGGTGCTTTTTTTTGTTGTTTTTTTTTTTTTTTTTTTTTTTTTGAGACGGAGTCTCCTCCCGAGTAGCTGGGACTACAGGTGCCCTCCACCATGCCCAGCTAATTTTTTTTTTGTATTTTTAGTAGAGACGGGGTTTCACCATGTTCATCAGGATGGTCTTCATCTCCTGACCTCGTGATCCGCCTGCCTCGGCCTCCCAAAATGCTGAGATTATAGGCGTGAGCCACTGCGCCCGGCCGGAAAGCAGAGGTTTTAACTTATTAAACTGAGAGAGACATTGGCATTAAAAAAAAAAAATTCATTCATTTACTCAGCAAGTGCTGATGCTAGCCAGAAACTGTGCTAGATGTTTACATTATAATAAAAATTGCATGGAAATTACAATCTAAGAGATAACTCAAATGAGTTAATACTTACAAACTGAAGGGCAAGCTGTAGTGAAAGTTACAATAGAGGATCCTGGGATCTGAGGGATGCAAGAAGAAGGCAAATGGATATACCAAAGCATCACCTTGAATTTGTTATAAAATCCCCCACAAGCTGTGGTATGAAGGGCCCAAGAGTTGCTCTTCTGCTTCAGAACCAGCCATCCATGAACTCTCATGCTCTTGTAGAAAAGACTACGCTGAAATGCTCACCCCAGGTGTTCAGAGGGTTTCCCATTTGGCCTAACATTCCAGGAAGCTCAAGCTGATGCTATTACTGGAGATTGAAGATTCTTTGAGTAGCACGGTATACAGCAGGCTTCGAGGAGTGTCCAATATGTTTTTGTATTTCAACTCTCTCCAAAGGTTGTGCAATCTTGTTCAATTTACTTAACTTACTGTCATAATTTTTTCTTTGTATAATACAAAAGACAACATTTATCATCTATAGTTTTGTGATGATTAAGTATACATTAATTATTTCATTTAATGGCTACTTCAAAGTACTTTGAATAGCACTTTTAAATAAAATAGAAAATAGAGCCAAAAACAAACTCTGTGTTCTTCTCCATGTGTTTTAGCCTTTTAAATTGCCTCATTTAGTCTCCCAGCTTTAAATGACAATACTATACTGGTAACTCTTTTAATCTCCAGACTAAATACTCAAGACTTATAATTTCTACCATAATTTATTGCTCATCCTTGAATTATGAGCATCTCAGTAAATAGGATAATGTTTAGGCAACATAAAATTGTATCAAGTCCTCTCTTTTAATGTCACACAATCTACAGTCTCTCGGTAAAGCCTGTTACTTTTGTCTTTAAAATGTACTCCAGGGTTAAGACGAAGGCGACCAGGGTCATGTGGACCAAGCACAAAGTGTGTCACCACCCTACATGAAAGAAACTCCCCCAGTGGCAGCACCACAGCCACTTAGCATAAGAGTCCCAGGCTCTGCCCAAGTCAGCAGCCATACCAGAGACCCTTCCAGCTCATCTACTCTCATTTATCCATTGGTTCCACCAGCCCTAAAACCATTATGCTCTTCGACTCAAAGAAGCTCAAAAGGTGGCATGAATTTGAAAACATTGTAGAGGAGAGGAGGCATGTCAGTGACTTGAAATTTGCACCTCTTGTTTATAAGGGGATTATTCCATGTAAGCCAAGTAATCTTAAATATAGTGTTCTTAATTATGAAGAGAGTTATTATGTCATTGCTATAGGCTGGATGTTTCTCCACTTCAAATTTCATGTTAAAATTTGACCCCAAACATTGGAGGTGGTGTCCAGTGGGAGGTGTTTGAGTCATGACAGCAGACTCCTCAATACAGCTTGGTGCTGTCCTCCTGGTAATGAGTAAGTTTTATCCTACAAGAACTTATTGTTAAAAAGAGCCTGGCACCTTCCTTCCCTCCCTCTCTCTCCTGTTTCCTCTCTCACCATGTGACAGGACAGCTCCCCATCCCCTTATGCCATGAGTGGAGGCTTCCTGAGGCCTCACCAGAAGCAGATGCATGGACTATGCTTCTGTACAGCCTGAAGAACCCTAAGTCAAATAAAATTCTTTTCTTTATAAATTACCCAGCCTCAGGTATTCCTTTATAGCAACACTAAGGCACTAAAACAGTCATTAAACAATTTTCTAAGGAATTCCAAAGGAAGTTAGTGAGATCTTGGATCAAATGAGTCACAGACTGCGTCTGGGAGCCATTCAGTTTTTTGTCTTTCCCTTAAGCAAAATATTTAAACAAATTTTCTCAAAGGTGTGTGTAAATGTAGGAGGTATTCAGAAACTGTAGCAAGCCAACCAGGAGCATCTTGTTCTTCTGCTCAGTCATCAAAGTTACGTTGACTTTCTGGTGTTGTCTTTTCTCCCATACAAGCATGATTTGTCTGTGCCAGTTATAGCAGCAGGAATGGACTTCCTGAAAATGAAACCAGTTGGTGAGCTGTGTGAATGTCAGGTGCCTTTTTCATGTGGTGCTGTTATGGTGGCAATAAACTCCACTGGGCTCTATTCTCTGAATATGTAAAAACTATTTTAGGAAATGGTTATGTGTCTGCTAAATCTTTCCTAGAAGAGAAAAGAAGCTGCTCTGCCAAGATACTGACTCCTAGATGTAGTGTTCTGAATGTTGTTATGAAGTCATTTTTTAAAAAAGTTTTTGAGACCTGCCTTATCCCAATTAGCAATAGTTATGCTAAGTTATTAGAAGAATATATCTATCTATCTATATATATATAGAAATACATATATATATATATGTATATATGTTTCTAGAGGTTGCTAAGCCATAACAATCTACAATTGGATTGTTGAAAGCCAGAAAGATTCTCTCTGAAATTTTTGAAACTTTCATGCACACTTTGGAGATGCTATGTCACTTTGATCTCTGACAGCTGGGAAGATGAATCAGAGCCCATAGAACCTGGTTCTAAGATACATTCTTCAGAAGCAATCTGAGGGCGTGGATGCCTTTGTTACTGAAGCTGCCTACAAAATGCAGCTTCTGCAAATTGAAAGCCTGGTTCTGAGACCCTGGGCCTAATAGTTTCTCTTCCGCTTCAGAACTAGCCATCCATGGACACTCATGCTCTGGCGGGAAAGATTTTACAGCTGAAAGGCTCACCCCAGGTGTTCAGAAGGTTTCCCATTTGGCCCAATAATAAAGCTACCAAAGACATGTCCAGTCCAACATACTTCTGCATTCCGACCTTACCAGCTTTGTCAAAGGCCAGGTGATTCAGAAAGTGGACTCCGGAGACTCAAAAGTGGCTGATGGAGTTATTTTCCAGTAGATCACTATCCTCATTGCTTGGCTTATAGGAACCTGTTGCTCAACACTTTTGTCCATCCTTCTTTTGTAGCTATAACAGTGCAGATGACAACTGGCTTCAGGAAAGAGGATGTCTACAATTGCTTTTTCTTCCTATGTGATTTTTTTTTTTCAGAGGAGTTCATCTTCCTTCCAGGAAACACACTAAAGGACTTTGAAGAAGGCTGTTACCTGCTTTGTAAATGTGAGGAGAACATTCTAGTTACAGATAAAGGAAATATCATTTAGAATTTTTAATAGGACTCTTTACACTTTCGTGGAATGTTATCAGATAATTTGCAAATACTTCTTGAGCAAAGAAGAGAACTACTTTACTTAGAAATAGTACTTGGCTGCAGTTAGAAAATACATGTCAGCTTCTCAATCAAGGTGCCTCTCAGTGTTACGATGTATTATCTTCTGATGTGCAGAAAAATGCCTTAGCAGCTTTGTTGGTGGAGAAGAAAAGGATTAATAATGACTATATATTTCATGTGAATGAACTTGCCACAACCAAATTAGGATAAATGTTTGGTTGTAATACTCCAATGGGAAAACCATTCACTGCAAAACTTTAATAATCACCAAACAGTTATGAAAAATTTGGGCACATAATTACTGTCATCAAATCACTCTTATTCCAACAAACATGGAAGTAAAGGAGCAGACACATTTTCTCTTACTTTGTAAGACTTTGAGAACAGACCTCTGTAGAGAAGAAGAAATGGTCAATGGAATCAATGGGGAAGTAATCTTCCCCAATGATAGTTGGGAAGTAATCTTCCCTGACATGGTTATCAGGCATTTGTATCCAACTCTCCAAGTGTTCAAAGAAATTTGTTTAAGTTTTGGAAACAATAAATAAATAAATAATCATATTCCAAATCTGACTACTTTTCCCTGGCTCTGTGCCCTATTAAAGCCACCAACATCTCCTACCTCATCCACTGACACAGCTTCCCAATATGTGTCCCTATTTCAGCTCTTGACACCAGACACAGTGGCTCTTCCACTGAACAATCAGAGTTGTCACTATTTCAGTAAATTCAAGTCATGTCATCACCCTGTTTAAAACCTTCCAATGCTTTCATATTCCATTTAAAATTAAATTTATTTCAGTTATGCTAGCTTACATTTCTAACACGGTCTGCCTCTTCCCACTTCTCTGATTTTATCTTTGATCATGGCCTTCTTATTTCCCTGCATCCAGTGTGGCTTGCAGTTCTTCCAAGAGCCAAATGGTGCTTGTTTCCACTAGCGCCCCTTCATACATGTTGCTCTCTCTGCTTTGATATTTCCTATCTTTCCCCTGACATCCCTTTACAAAATAAAACACCTTTCATGTGTTACGTTCTATTTCTTTACCTACTTATGTCATTACTAATCCTTTGTCTACTTATATTATTACACTTAACCACTGCAGTTATCTTGCATTCTATTTTTTCATTAATTCTTATATTTATAAGTGCAAGAATGCAAAAAACAATGTCTGCTTGGTTTCTGTTATATCTTCAAAGTATATATTGTCTAATCCGTACATAGATTACAATATTATTTCAGCTTTAAATAATATTGACTGTAAGACATCAATGTGCCAGGTACAGAAGTCACTCAATAGATGGCATAGTAACCAAAAATGCAACAGATATAATTTTCAGTTTCCTCTTTCACTCCGCATCTGGCTGTTTTAAAATACTTGTTTTACAAAATCACTGTGGTTTTTCATGCCTCTTTGCCTTTGAATAAACTGCTCCTTCAGATCAACTATGGAAAGGCATAATAGGCTATGTTCAAGATTCAAATATAGTATCTTCTCCGTGGATTATCTTTTCCTAGATTTCTTTTCCCTTCTCCACACCCTAAGTGAGGTTTCACTGGGTCTTTACAGAGAATCATGAACACACATGTCTTCTTAAATGCCCTTCATATATTATATTTCAGTGATCTCTTATATTTTTCATCACTCCCTGTAAACTATGTAGATAAGTGTAATCTCTAATTTGTTACATTCAAATGAAACTTCTGACTATGACACCTCCGAACTTTGTGACTCCAGGCAATTTCTTAACTAAACCTATCTGTGCCTCAGTTTCCAAATTTATAACAACGAGGATTAGTTGCAAACATCTCATAGGGTTTTTCTGAGAATTAACTAAGAAATACGTAAAGTACCCATCATTTGCTAAGCTAGACAATTAAGAATTCTCTAAAAACTATTATCATTAATTATTATTACTATTAATTCCCAAAGTTAGTATGGGGTCTTGCATACACACCCTAGATGCTGAATAATGGTGTGATAAGGTCAAAGACAAATCGCATTGGAAAGAGTTAAACAGTGAAGAAATACTTTATTGGCATATTAAAAATTTGCTAAGAGTAGATTTCAGGTGTTATTATAACAAAAACAGAGAAAAGAAAAGAAAAAAAGGTAATTCAGGAAAGTGTTGGATCATTTCCCGTACTGTAATAATCATTTCACTATGCATATGTATATCGAAACACCATGGTGTACATCTTACATATGTACAACTTTTTTTCTTCAGAAAAAGAGTCTTGCAAGGGAAAAGAGACTGAACTCAATTTCGCTAAAACAAAACACAGGAGAATTTTTAAGCACTGGAATGAGCCAGTGGAAAAACTGGAGGACATTAGGGAGAGAGGTTGGTCAATGTGTTGAGGCCATCTCTGTTTGCTAATTGGCACTTATTGAAGTTAGGCTCCTGCTCTCCTACAGAAAGTGGAAGGTGGGGGTACTATCTTCCTTGATAATACATTTCAAGAGATGCCTTTCGGGTTCTTAAGATTTTTCTGGGTATGAAACCTGGCAAAAGGCTAAAATATTTTACATCTCAAAGGGGCAGAGAGATAATTTGCAGTAGAAAGTTTTCTAAAGTGAGTGCTCTAAGAAAGATAACGGGCTACAATTAGGAAGAAAACTGACTAAGATTGAATCAAGTGGAGGAGATCCTTAAGGCCATCTTGATCACTGAATCTATAAAAGTTCTGATCTCATGTCTTAAATGAGTCAATCTAATCATGGTACAGCTATACAGTGATTACTGCATTATCATAATAATATGTAGCTAATGCTATTTGGGGTATTAGTGATGTTCACCAAATATGTCCAGCTCTGCCTTGGGACATGTAGCAGGATGTCACTTCCCATTCCCCTTAGAAGTGATGGGAACCATGTGAATGGTTTTGTGCAATACATTGTGGAAGAAACATCATTACTCACTGCTGGGCTGGAGGTTTTAATTGTTAGTATACTAATCCCCAGTAAGGCAACTGTAATGTTTGAAGCGGGGCTGCTTAGTCAGCCTGATTTCCTGATGGAGAAGCTGTGAAGCTGAGTGCAAACCAACCGCAATGGACTGCGGAATGAAAAGAAATAACCCTTTGTTGCTGGAAGATACTAATATTGGGGTATGGTATGTTGTTTTAGCATCCCTAGAAATTTCCTTTATAAGTATCTCAACTGATTTCAATCAGGAAAACAATACAGAAAAATAAAATTATTGTAAGTTTCAGAATTATCCACCAAAACCAAGTGATAACATAGGAATAGGCCCCAACTCATGAAAAATATGTCGTGTGGGAAGGCCATGGTGGGCAGGAGATGTGTGCTTGAAACATTAGTCCCTCTTCTATTATTAAAATACATTTATTTTTCCTTGTTCATTTTTGAAAGAAATATGAGCCATCAATTTTCTTTTATTTCAAGATCCTATAGATTTTCTACAAATCCACAGCAATGAAAACATTTATATTTCATTATTACAAATTCCACTGGGAACTCTTCCTCTCTCTTTCATACACCTTGTCAATTTCATTACATAATTAAAATGGGAAGATTGTCTTAAGGGAATAATAAAATATGCTAGGATATACCACCTCTTAGGTAAATATGTAGACAGTATATTTTTACTGAATATTTTAGATTACTTTAAGCTTCCTTTTAGAAGTATACCTAATGACCTGACATAGACAATTACCTAAACTTGTGCATTAATACACTTTGAATGGTAATTACATTTTAATTAAAATGCCAAAGTGATCCAAAGGTGAAGAATAAGCTATTTACTGTGTGGAGTCTGAACAATGAAATAAATGGGAAAAGAACTTAAGTCTTTATGATTTTTTTCTTAATGCTGAAAAAGTGATATTGAGAGCAATTATTATCTTTTTTTCCAAAATATAGTAATGCATAAATAGAAGCAAATTAAATCTATCACTCAGCAAATTTCATTTGCCATGGGGAGATTAATATGAAAAGGGCCTCTGAATTTTTATCAGAGCAGAAAACTTAATAGGATATTTCAAAAATTCAGCTGTGGCTGGCTTGAGAATAGATAATGGAATTCTTGCAGCTTAAATCTTGAGGTCACTATTTCAAAAATGCCCCAAGTTGGCGGTAACTAAAAGGCATTACTATCTGATGGCACTGCAGTGCCTATGTGAAATGAATGATTGGTTTCACTCTGATGGTTACGAGATAGGGATCTAATATCATCCCAACAACTGAAGCTAATTGGCCCAATTGCTGGTATTTCAAGGAGGCATCCAACAATTGAAAATTGGAATTACATCCCCTCTCTGTACTTGGTTGCTTTCCTATGACGGGCATGACAGGTGTGACGTTTATCTGGGCCTATCTTGGGCTTTGATGTAAATAAATCAAAAATTCATTCTGGCAGCTCAAGCTTTTGCCCTACAGGGTCCTGGAGATCTGGCTTATTAATTTGTAGACAGTGTGCCTTGTCCCATTTACCAGGAAGGAAGCCTTTACAAATGAAATGGTGATGTTAGAGGGCCCCGAGCTCCATGGGTAAAGGACTTTCTCTAGGCTAGAGGGATTCTGGGAAGGTCAATATGGCTGCCTACTTTCCTATGGCCCAGTTTGTATTAATGCTAAACTGATTATTAGCATTTAAGATTGGTATAGTGGGAAGAGAAATTTGAGTCCAATAGATGTGTGAGTTAAGGACAAATACTAACCTTTATACTGTGTGCAAGGTAAGACAGTGGATATATAAAACAGACAGCCTGGGTTCAAATACTGATCCCACCAAGAAATAATTCTGTGTTGTGTGTGTAGTTTATTCCCCCAAAGCCTCAATTCCTTAGTCCCCTTATATGACTGTTGTGAGATTAAAAGAGATAATGAGCACAGGAAAGAGTCTGGCATAGTGTCAAATAATAATAACAAATAATAAATGCTGATTGTGTTGTTAACATTCCTATTTAAAAAATGGTAGTAGAGTAACAGTAGTTATTATATTATCAACACCTATCTTGCAAAAACTGCCTCCTAGGCTTGTGTTGAAGATCAAATAACATAAAAAGATGCAAAAACTTTGAAATGCCATGCAAATTAAAGGTGTTAATAATTATAATCATATCTAGTTTATTCTTAATTTTTTATATTATTGTGTTTATTTCTCAGATAGACCTGATTTACAGTCTAAGCACACAGTAAAGCTGAAACAAATAGTCAAAGGAATAAATAGGGGCTTGCAGGAAATCTTTGGGAAATATCAGACCTATCACTTCCTGAAGCAGGTTCCCTCATGCTGTGGGCTAGCAGGACTGCCAGGTCACCGAGCATTCTTTGTACATCCTGTTTATTGGAGGCAGTAGGTATTAAATTATTTCATCAAGCAGTCCTGTAACTTTGCAGCTCCCTGGTGGGCCTTCTAATCTCAGATTATGTTCACCCATCAAGCTATGATTGCTGGAAGGGTTATTGCTATTTCTCATTATGCTATCTCTTGAGTCCTCTTTTTTCCCTTTGTTAAAATTGTTCCACTAAGAATATTTTTTTAACTCAAATTGAATTTTCTTTCAGACTCCCACTTGATATCATTGGGTTCCAGGTTCCTAAAGATTTCTTAAAAATTTTAAAGGAAAACAAAATATGTAGGTTTAGTCAGATTTATTTCTTTTCTTGGGAAAATAACTTCACTTTTTTTCCTACCCATTCTGTGTACATTAATCAAAGAACTAGGCCAGGTCCTATAGATGCTGTGTGTGTGTGTGTGTGTATGTGTGTGTGTGTGTGTGTGTATTGTGTGGTAGGAAATAAGGATCTGCCTCAATGTATTATGTTGACCTAAATTCATCATGTCTTTTGCAAAGATGACATTAAAATTAACAGGCTATTTTTTTCCCTGTTGAACATAAGCCTCTGTTTCACTGGTCTTCTGCACCCTTGCTCTCAGTCTTGTTCCTCCTTTTTTTACTTTTATTGATTGACCTTCTTAATATATGGCCATTTACCATGCACTGTGGAAGTGAATTATACATGAAAACTCAGAAACAATATATCAATGGTACATTCTGCACTGAGTGACTCATGCATTGAGTCTTCCTTAGTCACATAGAAGAGTTGAGCTCCCTACCTGGTATTTTATATCTGAAAATACTCTACCAGTATCTCTCATTAGATGTTATTTTGGACTTCTGTATATTCCCAAATCTTGCCAACTACAATCAAGTCTTGATCACAGAATAACACTTAACTGTCCCCATTCACCGGTCTTCAAGATTCATCTATTTTATAGACTTTGAAACTGACCCATTCCAAAAACAGACCACATTTCACAAATCCCATATCAGGAGGATCACAGACACTTCTGTTTCCATATGTAAAAAGATACAAGTGTATTGGAACTTCTAGAATATTCTTATGAGTGATATGATCAATGATTAAGGGTAGGAAATTAAAACCTTTCCCCCCAAATTTGGGATTTGTAATTTCTATAACAAGTTGGCCTAGAATGTATGATATATGTGTATACATATATCTATATGTATACACACACACTATATATACACATATATAGTACATATATAGTACTATATATACATATATACATATATAGTACATATACATATATGTACTATATATGTATATACATATATGTATGTACTATATGTATACACACACTTATATACACACATATATACATATGTATATATACACACGTATACGTACATATGTATATATAGACACGTATACGTACATATGTATATATAGACACGTATACGTACATATGTATATATAGACACGTATACGTACATATGTATATATAGACACGTATACGTACATATGTATATATACACACGTATACGTACATATGTATATATACACACGTATACGTACATATGTATATATACACACGTATACGTACATATGTATATATACACACACGTATACGTACATATGTATATATACACACATGTATACGTACATATGTATATATACACACGTATACGTACATATGTATATATACACACGTATACGTACATAGATGGGTATATATACATATATACCCATCTATGTACATGTGTACATACATGTACATCTATGTACATATATACACATACATGTACATCTATGTACATATATACACATCTATGTACATGTGTACATACATGTACATCTATGTACATATATACACATCTATGTACATATGTGTGTATACATATAGTATATACATATATACACATATATACATGTATACACGTATATACATATATGTGTATATATACGTATACACATATATACGTATATGCGTATATATACGTATACACATATATACGTATACGCGTATATATACGTATATATCACGTTCTTACTAAGGATAAAAGCATAGTAACACATAAAACACAAGAGACAGTCCGTGAAAGGCTAAAAGCTTGTTGTAATCTTCGTGAGGGCTGAACTATTCCTATTTTCCATCCCAAAGTAACCAGTGGCTAGCAGAGTTCCTGGCACTAGGAACTCAATAAATATTTCCTAAAGAGAAGGGAAGAAGAGAGGGGCCATAGCCACAGAAACAATCCTAAACATAGTGAAGCCTGTAGAGCAGAGAACAATAGAAACACAAGATTTCTGAGGACCCAGTAAGCAAAGCTCCAGACTCCTATTGCCTTGCCCCAAAATATCTCGAGCATACATCATCAGAGAGAAAATTACCTTGAAATTCCTTTTCCCTTCATCACTATATAAATGAACGTGAACAGAAGGTTCTGTCTCTTCTCATTGCATCTTCCCGATAACTATTCTTAGAAGTGGGGTAACTACCCCAAAGTCATCATCTTATCAGAAAGATATCACATACTTCTGTGACTCATTTCCAACCTCATTCGTGGAGGTAATATCTATCATACAGTTCCTATGTGCCAGGCATGACTCTAAAAATCTTAGTATGTAATTATTCATAGAATCTTCTTAACCAATTGTAATGTTCCTATTATTAGCAGGACCCTCTCTGAAAAACATGAAAGTGTCTCAGAAAAGTTTAATTAAATAACTGCTGTGATCCAGTCATTATCTTTAAAGCTACCAAAACAAAAATGTGCTATATATGGTCTCACCTCATGGCATTCCTAGTTTATTGGGACAGACGAATATATGCATAAATATAAAGAGAGATAAGTATTGTATTTACACGTTCATAGCATGATTCTCTAACACAGACACTCTGGGTTTCAGGTTGCTCTGATCCCAAACTTTGCACCATCATTTTATAGTTACATGGTCTTGGAAAAGTACTATAATGTACAGTTTAATTTTCCTCACATCATTATGAAGGCAATGTTGGTATTTATCCCCAAAGGTTGTTGTGAAGAATAAATTGAAATCATGCTCACAAGTGGCTAGCACATATTAACTTTTTAATAATTAAATGATAATCATAATTTTTCATTAATATGTTTATTGTTATTTTCATGGAAATAATAAATTGTCTACCAGTGAGTAACAGCAGATGTCATAGGAAGATGCATTTGAGATGACTATTTGAAAATGAACAGGTACTGTCCCAGCACTGTAGCAAGAGATACCTAACCCTGACAGCAGAAACAGCATGTGCAGTGATCATCAAAATAAAATTGAATTTTGTCTAAAATGTTGACGTCCAAGTTAGAAACATGAATGCATCTTCTTCCTATTAACCACAACAAGACCAGTATTCCTCAGCAGAAGATGAATTATACAATTCGGATCATTGATCATACTGAGATTCGTTGTCAGCTTGACTTTTAAGATTTGCCAGGTATTAGAAGAGCTTATTTATAGAAAGCAGATGGCTTTTTGTCATTTAACTCACTGAAATTTACTTAGTATGAGGAAGGGAGACATCAAGCTGGCTCCATGATAAAAGCTCTCTAAATACATTAGCTCCTTGAGTGGACTGCAGAGGGACAAATAGAACACTTCTTTTAAAACAAATTAGCCTTCTTTTATGTTTTAGAAGAGATAAGGCCAAAGTCCTCAGCAGTGAATGATAACATTAGCCGAAGCAATTTCAGAATTTGCTTTATCAAACGCCGAATTCTCTCTCATCCCATTGACCATGGTGCTACTTTTCTCATAAGGTGTCCTCACTGCTTTCCTAGAATGCATCAAGTTCAAACAACAGTGCCTTATTTCAAACCCCAGACCCATTTCATTCCTATTCTCAGATCTCTGCCTTGTTTACCTACTTTTTATTTTTTGGATTCAATCAAAACCCCAATTGGCTGCCCTCTGTTTTTCTGGCATTTCATGGCACCTTTTGTGGCCTTTTGCGGTAACACATATTCTATATCCTTTCAAAAGCTGCCCAAATTATTTATACAACTTTTCAGTTTTTATCCTAAATTTCAATATGACTTAAATACGCAGATGAGTACTCTCACTCTATTTTGTTGATGTTTTTCTCTCCTTTCTGCCTTTCTTGTCTTTCTCTCTTCCTTCTAGCCACCTTATACCAATTAAACACTATTCAAGAGTGACAAGAAATGCAACCCTTGAAGCCGATAGTCTTGTTTTCTAATTCTATTTCATTTTTTTATGACTTGCACATCTTAAAAGGGGTATTTTTTCTCTGTAATTGTTTAATTGGCAAATAGATCCAACTACCTTATGGGATTATTGTGAGGAGTAAATAAGATAAAGTGCCTGAAAACAAGCAGTGCCAGGAAACATAGACTTATTACAACTACAGTTGGCCTCGTTCAACATATATTATTAAAACCTAGCTAGTTCCCACCACGGAAAGGTATCAGGGATCCAAAGAGAGAAAATCCCCTGTTTCTTCCCTAAAGGAGCTCATTACTTAGGTTTGGAAAAACTTAGAGTACCATTATTTTAGGATGAAAGATAGGTTGGAGTGGATGGACAAATAAACCATGTTTGAGCATTTCTACTTGCAAGAGAAGACAATCGTGCCTTAATCTCCATGAACTTGAGATGGCCTAGAGTTGCTCATCTGAAAATCTGCACTGAACTATGAGACAGCTCAAAAGGATCACTTTGGTGATCTCTGGAAGGGACACAGGATGAAGGAGGAGATGAGTGGGTTTGCCTGTGATTTACATCATGAGGAAGAATAAGATGCCTAGAAAATGGTCACTCACCTTCAAAACTTTAGAGTGTCTCAGTAAGAAGAAGAAAGAAGCTTCTCATAGAATAAGGCAAGGCTTTCTTAGAAAACATCAGAAATGACCAGTCATTTTGGTCCAACAATGGTCAGTTGTGCTGGACATACTCCAATGCAGGCTTCAGAGCTCCCCATTAGTATTGGCAAAGATTTTTCCAAGCAAGGGTTATATTTTGATTTCTTGATTTGCCTATTCCTGCTTCTTTTTGCATCCTTTATATGTTTTGATTCCTAGTATGCATCTTCCACACAGATCTTCATATCATTATCTGTTTCTGGAGAAACCAACCTACGGTGTTGGAATTTTAATACAGAAAGTTACAGGCATTTGTTCAAGACAGAATGCACTTTTCCAAGTACATTTCTACATATGATGCAAAGATACTTGCAATTTATAATACCTTTATAAGCATGTTTATGGTAGCCCTGATACCTATGAAAATTGCAGAGCAGACATGCATATTTTGGCTCATTTTGTTCAAGCTGGAAAAGGTCAGGGAAGTTGTAAAAGGAATGGCCCACCTATATTCGAAGATGTTGTTTGACTGTTGTGGTTTGCTATTTCAAAGTCTGTCTTCAGCTGCCCTGCTTCAAAAAGGCCCTTTAAAAATGATGGTGGTTGGGCCGGGCATGGTGGCTCATGCCTGTAATCCCAGCACTTTGGGAGGCCGAGGCAGGTGGATCACCTGAGGTCAGGAGTATAAGAGCAGCCCGGCCAACATGGCGAAACCCTGTCTCTACTAAAAATACAAAAGAAATTAGCTGGGCATGGTGGCACACACCTGTAGTCACAGCTACTTGGGAGGCTGAGGCAGGAGAATCACTTGAACCCAAGAGGTGGAGGTTGCAGTGAGCTGAGGTCACGCCACGGCACACCAGCATAGGCGATAGAGCAAGACTCCATCAAAAAAAAAAAAAAAAAAAAAAGATGGTTGTGACAGATACAAAAAAATTGTTCACATACTAAATGCAACTTGATCTTACAGGTTAAAAATGGTTAAAATGGCAACTTTTATGTTACGTGTATTTTACCAGAATTTTTAAAAGCTAATACAAATGGAAGAACTCAAGCCTTAAGCTTGGAGAAAAACAGCTAAGAATTAATCATTTGGAAGTTGGTTAATAATAGGAATTTGTGATAGCCTTATGGATTGGGGAAGTTGCTCATGAGAACAACTCATGGAGACAATGAGAGACTCATGGAGAGAATGAATAGAGAATGAGTGACTCATTGCTGCTCAGCCTTTTGGCTAAGATCAAGTGTGAGAATAAGTGACTCAACTCAAGGAAAGAATGAAGTTTAACAACAGAGTAGTGGTTTTCCTCTTGTCCTCCACTCTAGACATTCTCAAACTTTGAACATAAAAATCACCTGGGAAGAGTGCTAAAAAGCCTATTCTCCAGGATACAAATCCAAAACAATTCAATCAGAATCTCCCAGGCATCAGATTCTTTAGGTCTCCACATGATCTACTGTGGAGTCAAGTTTGAGAAGCTCTGTTCTACTTCTATACCTTTTACTAGCAAATGTATTTCATCCCAACGGAGGCTGTTATATACAGAAATTCTTAATTGACAGATGGTGTGGAGGTGACTGATATGGTCTGGCTGTGTCCCCACCCAAATCTCATCTTGAATATTAGCTCCCATAATTTCCATGTGTTGTGGGAGGGACCTGGCGGGAGGTAATTGAATCATGGAGGTGGGTCTTTCCCATGCTGTTCTCGTGAAGTGAATAAGTCTCACGAGATCTGATGGCTTTATAAAGGGGAGTTCCCCTGCACACACTCTCTTGCCTTCCACTATGTAAAATGTACCTTTGTTTCTCATTCACCTTCCACCATGATTGTGAGGCCTCCCCCGCCCTGTGGAACTGTGAATCTATTAAACCTCTTTCCTTTATAAATTACTCAGTCTCAGGTATGTCTTTATTAGAAGCATGAGAACAGACTAATACAGTGACATAAAAAATTTTCATTCTCCAAATTCTGACATTGTCCTCAAGTTCTCCCAGTCCCAGGAGGGAGTAGGAAAGAAAGATGCTTTCATGGATAAGATTCACCTTGGTTAAAGAGTAAAAATGTTATCAATGTTCAGCTTTTCCAATAACAACTCATTGCTAAAAACCCTGAAATACGCATCTGCTTTTTCCCACCATTGCCAAAATATTTAGAGTAGATTAGGCCTCCTATTTTACAGCAATGCTGCTGTAGCCCTCAAGCTGATCTTCTTGCTTTTGGTTTGTCTTTTTTCTCCCCCTTGCTTTTTCCATTTTGTAAAATCTAAACAACAGTCAGACTCATCTTTTAAAAGACCAATTCTGGTTACATCATTATTCTCAGAATTCTTCAATGGTATGTTTTTAGCCTATATGATAAACGGATAATCTGCACCTTCCTAACTCTGCTGATTCATCTTCATCTTCAAGATGCTCCTTGTGATTCTTTCTCATCTGCCTTCATTGTGATAGCGACAGGAGGCAAAGAAATTCTAGGCAGAAAAGGGTGGGTCTCCAGTAAAAACCCCACCCTCAAGCCAAAACTGCGGCCCAAAGTGAGAACCTATATCCCCGTTTCCCTGCTTAAATGTTGTTTTTTCCTAAATCACCCATGGTCCTACTCTGCCCCATCCTGTGCCTATAAAAACCCCAGATTCAGGACTACGTTTGAAATCGGAGAGAAGTGGCTTGACTTCAGAGGGACAGCTTGACGAGGTAACTTCAGAGAAAAGTCTGGCTGGAAACAGCTGGATTTCAGGGGACGATTACGAACACCCCCATTCCATTTGCAGTTCCTCTTCCGGCTGAGAGCCACTTTCATCAGGAATAAAATGCCTTGCGTTTACCATCCTTCAATTCATTTGTGTGACCTCATTTTTCCTGGATGCTGGACAAAAGCTCGGGAACCACAAGCGCATATACAAAATGCTGTCACACTGACCCTTCGCCCTTGCTGGCAGAGGGCAGCTGTCCCATGCGACAAAGCAAATGGCCCAATGAGCTGTTAACACATAAGCTGTCCACGAATGGCAGAGCTAAAAGAGCACTGTAACAAGCCCTCTGTGGCCTTGGGGGTTGCAGGCACCCCCAACTGGACATTGACGCAGGGCCCGCTCCTTCTGCAAAGCGGCTGGCCAGTTCCAGCGCTCCTGCACTCCAGTTTCCGCCTCGTTCACTCACGTGCTCCATTCCATGAGGAGTTGAGAGCAAGGGGCTGAGTAAACAAGGCACCTCTGTCACAGATCCCACGAAGGGGTCAGGGAAATCCCCTGCTTCAACTGTACTTCTCATTTCCTCCAAAGCATCTCTCTCTCCCAATTTTTTTCTTCCTCTATGTCTTTCTGTCTCTACCTATCTCCATCTCCTACATCTCAAGAAGGTGACCCACACTGTTGCCTCTGAGTAGAATGCACTTTGCTCTCCCCTTGCCTGGTGATCCCCACTCACCCATCAGCTCTCAGATGAAATATCCTTCAGGAAACTCTTCCTGACAGGCTGCATCACTCAACGCAAAAAAAATAATAATAAATAAATAAATTTAAAACATAAGGCAGCAGACATGGTTAAGATTCCTCTTTAGCAAAGTAAGTATGCTGAATTCCCCCACCCCCATCCCCCAGCCCTCAAGATGTAAGAAAGCATAATAATGTTTCTTTTGTTCGCCACTTTATCACTAGGACTTAATATTATGTCTGGTACTTTGATAAATGTGTTTCTCTCCTTAACGATGAGGTGACCTACTAATCTTATTTCCTGCAGCAGAAAGCCCCAAAGGAATGAAGATTTCATAGTACTCTAAGTTGTTGTGTCTTTCCATTCCAGAACAATGTTGCTTCATTCTCAATTTACATGGAAAATTTTTTTTTTTGCAAGTTAAAACATTTAATAGGAGAATTGTAAAGACAATAATCATGGCCAATGATTAAATATCTCATAACAAAAAATGCAAATGAAGAAAAGAAAGGAAAGAAGGAAGGAAGGAAGGAAGGAAAAAAGAAAGCAATGAGGAAAATTATAAGAGAGTTGGAATTTTTTGAGAGTTCCTGAAGTCTGGGATTAGTCACAAGAGGATTAGACCTTTAACTAGAATGATGACGGCTTGGAGAGTGGATGATTATAGCCTAGCATTTCACAAGGGGACTCAAGAGACTGAACACAGTGTTGGCATTAGAAGATTTGTTGAAGCAAATTGAACACCCCGCGTCAATCTTGATAAAGGTCAGATTATAAGAAATAAAAGTAAGCACCATTTAACCCAGTAGGTAGCATATGTACACCTCCATTTTCTCTAGAGCCTGAGAATATAAATAGTTGAAAGAGGATTCAGGCAAATTAACTAATCCAGAATACAGCAACACATCATTATCTGCTACAAGGTGTCAGCATCTTACTATCCCACCCCACCCTTTCATTTATTTATTTATTGCTCCTCCAAGTATAAGGAACTGAAGTCTCATTTCTCCCATTCAAAATTTTTAAAGAGGAAACAATGCTATTGGAAAGAGAAAGTGAATATCATTGTCCCAAGTTCTGTCACTAAAATGTGTCTTATCTTTCTGGATTTCCCAGAAGTATGAGTGTCTGTACCTCACTAACCTGAAGATTATGACATGAATGCAATTTCAGATAACTCAGATACCTCACCAGAAATACAGAACCCAAATTCAAGTATTTTTATTGTAGGAGGGGGTGAGCTCTCACTATACCAAAATTGTATTCAGGGATCAACAAATCACAGCCCACAGGCCAAATCTGCATGCACCTAGTTTTTGTAAATAAAGTGTAATTATAACCTAACCATGACCAGTTGTTTATGTAATTGTCCCAGGACACTTTTGCTGTAAAGGCAAAGTTGCATGGTTGAGACAGATACTGCTCAAACTAACCCTTTACAGAAAATGTTTGACAACACCTGCAGGTTTATAAGATTCTGATACATTTTTACCAGCCGGTCTTAGCAACGGGAAATTAGGGAAGGATGTTTATTTTCTGAGGCTAATATGGTAGAAGCCGTAGTAGACAGTAGTAAATAGGTAAGACATAGGTGGTGTTAAATAAGTAAGAGATCCCAAAGTAACACTGAATTTGGAGACAGAAGATTTGGGGCTTTTGATATCTTCTTCAGAATAGGCAGTAGACAAAAATATTTCAGTTTGAGGAAGGTAATTTCAGTTGTATTAACTGGATACATTGAACCCAGTCAATGGATTATGGGCATCAATGGAAGGAGATGAAGTTTTTGGAAGCTCATCAAAAGCAGGGATCACATCTTATGCCCATCTGATATCCTAGTACTTAAACTAAGCATATTATCTGACAAAGCCATTTATTTTTCATCAAACATCACTGAGTACCCAGTAGTTAAATAAAAGTTGTACTAGATCACTGAGTAGTCTCACATGTGAAACTTGAAACTCTGTGCTTAGAAATAGCTGTTTACTATTAATTTCTGCTTCTAATAAAAATAGTTTTGAAACATTATATACACATCTAAAATAAAGGAGACTTGGCATCACTTAATAGCTATGTCATCCAGGACAGGTAACTTAACTTTAAGGGATCCAGTTTCCTTATATGTCAGATAGAGATAATAATGGTCATTACTTCATGAAGTTATATTTAAAAAATCATAAATCAGTAGTGGCATAAATACCGAGCAATCACAACATAACAATAAATCTGTTGCTGTTATTGAAAGATGCATTCAAATCCATTAAAATGTTTGTAGTAAGCACAACACACTAATGTTCATCTTCCAGTTCTTTGGACTTGCCTCAAGTATGCAATTGGTGGCTGCAAAAATGAGGAGGACATTGGTCTTACCCAGTGCAGCTGTTTTACTTTATTTTATTTTTGTCTTTATTCTGGTTGTCTTATGAAAAGAGTGAACATGACTTTATCTGGCTTTTGCTTTTCATAAATTTCTTCCTGGTTGGTGGCCTAATCTCTTCTCTACACACAGTTTCCTTCAGAGAAATTTCAATTATTTCTCTTTCCCTACCATTTCTCATTTTCTACAATACCAGAACTGAGATTGCACACCTTAAGTGTGGGCATAGATATTGTGACAGTACTTCATAAGCTTTAAAGCACTGTCCAGATATTAATTTTTATTTATTGCTTTCAATGAATGGAAAAGTCCCTTGCCTTCTTGTCACCTACCTGACACCACTCGTTGAGAGATATTTGTGGTCTTAATGCAGTCAGCTTTTCCCAATTTGTTCTGTTATTTTCTGGTTTTTACGCCTTTCCAATATCTTTTACTATTGAAAATCTGGCCTTCATATACAGAAAACATTACAGTGTCTAAAGAACAAAAAATAATAATCCTTTACTTTCCATAGCACCTTGTAAATACTAAATCGATTTTCACAGGCAATTCAAAGCTGGACTATAAGCTCGATTGGAAACCATGTTTTATTTATCTTCGCAAACCAAGAGCTTGTCTCACATCTGGTAATTAGTAGGTGCTCAATAATTCTTAAAATGTAAATATTATCATAAATCCCAATGAGGGATTCAGGTAGAGTATCATCTCTTGTATACACATGAAAAATACACTTAGTGAAGTAGTAAAAATCACATGGAACTAGAATTTAGTTATTTTAATTCATCATTCAAAACTCTAGAGTATTAGTGCTCATAAAAACAAAAACAGAAATAAAAGAGGATGGTTTTGGATTGATAACCTCATGGTATCATTTCAATAGCCGGAAGTCAAAGTAAATTGATTATTATTGTAACCCATCCTGACATAATCAGGTGCTTCATATTCAATTGAGAAACTTCTGCTGCATTGACTAATATAGTAGCCATTTGCCATATGTGACTACTTAAATTTAAATTTCAATTAATTAAAATTAAATAAAACCAAAAATTCAATTATTCACTCACACTAGCCACACTTCAAGAACTCAAGTATCACATGGAGTCAGTGGCTACCATAATGAACAGCAGAAATATAGAGCCCTGCGAAAATTTCTAGAAGCTGCTGGGATAACTCTATTCATTCCCTGGAATTCTTGACAAGGTTTTCCAAAACATCAGTTGGGCCATGTGGGCAGATGTTGTATGATTGAGATGCTTTGAAGTATCAGACAGTATTTGAGAGCTGAAAGGAGATAGTCTGTGAAATGTAAAAAAAAAATTTTAATAATATATATATCATTATATAAAATTTAAAAATGATATATATATCATATATACATATATATACATGGTTTATTGGTGTAACAAAATGAAATATTTTGTCTTTGTTTTGTTTTGTTTTTGTTTTTGTTTTGTTTCGTTTTTTTGACAGAGTCTGTCTCTACTGCCCAGGCTGGAGTGCAGTGGCATGATCTTTGCTCACTGCAACCTCTGCCTGATGGGTTTGAGTGATTCTCCTGCCTCAGCCTCCCAAGTGGCTGGGATTACAGGCGCCTGCCACCACACCCAACTAATTTTTTTGTATTTTTAGTACAGACAGTGTTTCACCATGTTGGCCAGGCTAGTCTCAAATTCCTGACCCCGTGTGATTCACCCACCTTGGCCTTCCAAAGTGCTGGAATTTACAGGTGTGAGCCACCATGCCCAGCTTGTCTTTGTTTCCTAAAATGTGGCAGATGTGACGCCAGAAAGGTGTCCCGATCCAGACCCCAGGAGAGGTTTCAAGAGTTCTTGGATCTCGCACAAGAAATAATTCAGAGTGAGTCCCTACAGTAAAGTGAAAGCAAGTTTATTAAGAAAGTGGAAGAATAAAAGAATGACTACTTCATAGACAGAGCAGCCCCAAGGCCTGCTGGTTGCCCATTTTTATGGTTATTTCTCAATTATATGCTAAACAAGGGGCGGATTATTCATGCCTTCCCTTTTTAGACCATATAGGGTAACTTCCTGATGTTGCCATGGCATCTGTAAACTGTCATGGTGCTGGTGGGAGTGTAGCAGTGAGGACACCCAGGCATCACTCTCATGGCTATCTTGGTTTGGGTGGGTTTTAGCTGGCTTCCTCACCTGTTTTATCAGCAAGGTCTTTATGACCTGTACCTTGTGCTGACTGCCTACCTTATCCTGTCACTTAGAATGACTTAACCATCTGGGAATGCAGCCCAGCAGGTCTTAGCCTTATTTTACCTCGCGCCTATTCAAGATGGATTTGCTCTGGTTCACAAGCCTCTGACATAGGTACGCCCATCGTATTAATATGCATCCACATTTGAGTTTAGGTTTTCTTCGGGAACCAGGTAACAACCTTATCTACCAATAACATATTATTTCTTTCTCCCTTGTTTCGCCATGAAAACATCAGGAAATATACATGAAAATGGAAAACAAAATTATTTCTAATTTTGAGTTGGAAAGAAATGACTGCTTAATCCAAACTTCACTTTTCTTCCTTTTCCTTTTGAATTTGTATCAGTTCTTATTAGCAACATTTACTGAGAACCCACTATATGCCATGTATGACATTACTGCTGCAGATTAAAGGAAACCAAAAATATTTCTCCCTAAAATATACCTGTGACATATTTTGAGATGCCTGTTCAGGGAGCCAGCATGCAAGAATAGCTCTGCAAAGCTGCCTTTGTGGAGATTTGCATCTGTAGAGGAAATCTGCATTGGTGAAATAAACAGCCAGTCTCTCCTCCCACTCCACACCATGCCCCTTGTCCAGCTCTAGGAAGGATTGGCTCCTGCAAAAGAGAAAGACTGAGAATCTGCACTTTTGAGTGTTTGACGAAAACTTATGCTTTCTAAGAGCTTCTATCTGTGGGTTTCATCTGCATAACAAGACAGCCTGTGCTAGCCATGCCTTTTCTCTTCTCTCCCTCCCATAACTGATCAGGTGTACTCCAAGCCCGTATTCTTTCTGTAACCCCCAGATGGTATCAAACTTCAATGATCTAACTTTGAGTTTTTCTTTTACATATTTTGTATGACACCTGTGTGCACATGTGCACATTAATAAATTTTGTATGCCTTTTTTTCTTATTAATCTGCCTTTTGTCAGCTGATTTTTCAGTGAACTACATCAGTGGGCAAAGGAGAAGTTTTCCTTGGCCCCAATAGTTTTGGTGCTGTGAGCAGGATAACAAATCCCAATGTTTGTTTCAGAGCCTACAGATGGAATCTTGGAACAACGGAGGAAACGTTTACAAAAAATAGTGAGAATTATTCTATCAAATTAGTCATCCTAGACTTCCATTTATAGAGCCTAGGTTGAATGAGGGCAGTAAGAATCTTTGTCTTTTTCCCCTTCCAATTTGGATTAACAGGAAACAAATTGAATATGAAGTAGTTCACTTATGTAATAAATAAATTACCTATATTTTAAAGAAAACTTTTTGGAGAGTTCTCATCTTAAATAGCTATCTTATTGATACCTATAAAAGTGCAAATCTGTGATTTAGATATAGATATATAGATAGAGATAGAGATAGAGATAGACTGCCTTAAAAACTTCCTTGGAAAGATTTTTTTAAAAAGAAAGGCAGGAATCGGTTTTTTTAAAAAGTTAAAATCCTTTGTATATGAGGAGAGTGAAGATCACCTGGTGGCCATCAAGCAGACCATCCAGAGGCAAAACTCCTTATCTGAGGAATTCAGACATAATTTGACTTCCCTGTGATTTAAAGCAAGCATCTGGTTCCAGGTTTCTTTCCCTAAAATGTATAGGTAACTAGACTTTCTAAGCATCTCCAGAATGCATGCATAGTGAAACTCTTTGTGCAACACTTGCTGACATTAAGGCACCAACACATGGACAAATGTAAGCATTTCTCATGACCTACATGGCTAACATAGTCCAAATTACCCTAAAGCGCCTGCTTTAAGGTCTATAAATACCCTTAAGGAAAAATCCACTGTGGTAGCTCAGTCCTCTCCTGCTGAGGCATCCCACTGCACTCTTCTACAGCGTTCTTTCTTTCTAATAAAACCTTCCTTTTTCAAACCTAACTGTTGTCGATAAATTCTTCTTGCCAACCTGTGAGTCAAACATTTTCCAGTGTTGGGGCTCTGACACCACAGTGGGCAGTTCGCTCAAAGTGCTGTGTTGGATCCCTTGTGGGATTTTCAAAAAGGCACTGCAGCCTGTAGTTCAGTGGCTAGGATTCCACTATTTAACCATCAGGGCCAGGATTTGGTTCCTGGTCAGGGAACCAGACCCTCAGAAATGTAAGTCTTTTAACTAAGAAGAAAAAAGAAACATTTACAAAAATGAGTCTGAATTATTCATTTTGAATTTATATTTTGTGACTCTTGATCTTTTGGGGTAACCATTAATATCTTTTCTATCCCCATGGACAACTTTTGATTTCCTGTCTTACCTACTGTTTCTTTTAATCTTCCATCTCTGGAGCACATGGATTGTCAAGGCTTTGTGTGCAGACAGTCAGCTGAGAAGCTGAAATCCTAAAGAATATTGCTGGGCAGAAATGTGGTGTATACCTCATTTGCAGTTAACAATCCTGTCCTTTCTTTGAGATGTCTTTGAGGATGTTCTGCATCCTGGGAGGGTTGCAGCTTCTGCTCCCTCTTTGGAGAGCTTGGTTAAAGCCATGAGAGACTTCCTGGGTTTAGTTTCATATGTGCTTATTTGTTTTGGTTTTGAGTCATTTGTTTAGGTATACCTTTGATTTAAACCTTTGGCATATATTTAGAGTGTGGTAGCAACTTCTGTTTTCCTTATATCTTGCTTTCTCTACTGGCCCAGAGAAACATACCTCCCTCCACCCTGGGAATCAAACAAATGAGTGAAAGAGGCTGGATTCTCCCTGGCCAGGAAGGTAGAGAGATCTCTTCCTCAGCTACCTCTGCCATATTCTCAGCTCCAGTGAAAGCTCAGCCTCTCAAGAGACATAAAGTTTGCTACTGGTATATTTGAAAGGATTTTTAAGAGCACTCTGGACAAAAATAAGCTTAATTAAAAGCTGCTATTCTTCTCTGATCTCTTTAAAATCCTATTTCTCACATGGCAACTTCTTACTGAACTAGATTTTTTTTTTCCCTGAAACTCCTGCTAACTAGAACTTCACTGGATTTGGGGAAAACTTAAAATCTCCACAATAGTTTTCTATAAGACTTGTTCTCCCATTTACTTCTATCTTTCTTTCCTGTATGCTACCTTAAATATTGAGGCAGGAGAAAAGGGTCTGGAGGCAGGGAACCTAGGGCCAATTTGCACTGACTTCCAATAACTGAATCAAAAGGAAAACCCCAACTTTCCATGTCCAAATAACAAAAAGATCCCTTTGCAATCACTACCCCCACCTTCTGCCCCACAGATGAAAAATGGAAAGTACCTCCAATTGGTCCCCTCTCACAACCAATCAGACTGGTTGCAGGCCTAGTCTTCATTTGCATAGGGGTGTAACTTTGAAACTTCAGCCTCTGATTGGTCTCCTTCTTCAACCAATCAAACTGATCGTGGGCCACTACTTCATTTACATAGGGTGTAACCAAATAACCAATCGGAAACATCTACAGGATATTTAAACCCCAGATAATTCTGTAACCAGCCTTCCTGAGCCCTTTGCTTCAGCCTGCTCTCGTTCTGTGGAGTGTACTTTCATTTCAATAAATCTATGTATGCTTCTGTTGCTTCATTCTTTCATTGCTTTGTTTGTGCATTCTGTCCAATTCTTTGTTCAAAATCCCAAGAACCTGGATGACTTATAAGCAAGACCCTCCACTGGTAACAATACCACATGAAGAGATCTTAAGAGGACTTCTAGCAACCCTCAGACCCCTTGAGAAACACAGGAAAAGGCAACACACACTCTTTTCTGGGAGTCTTTCGCCTTCCTCACGGAGCCCTAATACTCATGGATAGGTTTTTCACACGTCTAAAGCTTTGCTGTCTCTTGCATTGAGTTCTTTGATCTCTTTGGTTTCGGATGGTACCGGGGTTAGTTTGTATTGTGAGACAAAATAGCACTTGACATTTTGGTATGCAATGGCTGGCAAGTCACTATCAAGGGCTGCAGTTTGGGAGGTGGTTGACAACAGTTGCAGTGAAAGGTTATTACTGCAAGGGGCTACTTGTTTCTTTGTGCATTTAGATAAAAGAAACACAGTTTGGACAATTAGACGCTATGGGAATACTTGTCATCAAGAGATAATACTCCCATAAGTGATGAGTTGATTACAGAATGGGCTGATTAGCATTGAGTCACCCACCAGCTTCAGGGCAATGTACTTGCAGCAAGGTACACTGTGGAAGACTTGTGTGGCCCAGCCCCTCAGTGTTTTCCTCCTGGGTTTTTGCATCAGCTTTAAGGGACCAGGGATTTAGTGTAAAAGTGAAATACATTATTATATCTGGGGATTTAGGTGCTCTGCCTTCCAGCTGCACTTTCTTTTCACATACATAAGTATTAGATCCCGGAAACTGAAAATGCTTTGTTGCTCCTATTCGTTGACAGGCTCTGTCTTAACCTCAGTGGTTCAGTTGGAAAATGAAGATTAAATTGGCAACTGCCTATTTGACTAAAATGCATGTCCTTACAAAATCCCTGTGATGAATTCCTGTGATTTTGTGTTACCTTGGAATTCACTTTTAATCTTCCTCTAACACACCCAGAGTCCTTCTTGGTAATGCTCAAATTCTCTCTCTGTGATTTGAGATGAAAATTTGCTACCCTGTTTTCTCTAAATGTCAGTAAAGTCTTCATCCACAATGGACAGATAAGTTTTAATTTGTTCTATTTATAGAAACACAGTTTAATCAAATTGTTATTAGTATTATTATTGAGATGGAGTCTTAGTCTTTCGCCAGGCTGGAATGCAGTGGTATGATCTTGGCTCACTGCAATCTTTGCCTGCTGGTTCAAGTGATTCTCCTGCCTCAGCCTCCTGAGTAGCTGGGATTACAGGTGCACACCATCACACCCAGCTAATTTTTGTATTTTTAGTAGAGACGGGGTTTCACCATGTTGGTCAGGATGGTCTCAATCTCCTAACCTCGTGATCCACCTGCCTTGGCCTCCCAAAGTGCTGGGATTACAGGCATGAGCCACCTCTCCTGAACCAAACTGTTATTTTAAACTAGTGAGTTTCACCTGCCTCGTAGCGAAAAATTTAAAATCAAAGTAGAAAATTTTTTTTATGTTTTCATGTATTTTATGTATACATGTGTACATACCTGTCTTATATATTGTTTACATGATATGCAGTTGACTTATAAATGAACGAGTACTCACAAATGACTAGCCCAAATGCTTTTCAAATTCAAATGACATAGAAATTTTTGGTAAATAAAACTAGTGTTAAAATCGTTGGTAAAATAAAATGGAAATATATTCAGAATTTCAGGCATTTCTGCCTGGGTTTACTAGTTGGACTAATTTATTCTGTCTCTAAGAGATGTTTTAAAGTCATAAAACTGATGCTTCTGTGAGATTTCTGATACTTACTTTATGTGTCTGTGAGCTTATGTCTTTGGTTGTGAGCCTTTAGATTCCAAGGTGTCTTAGACAAGTGGCCATGGTAAGGCCTGGGGACTTATGTGTATCAATAGCACCCATGCCACAAGCTGCAGAGCAAAGCCAAGCTCAATATAGCCCCATTCTGTCTGGCCCAGCTCTGCCTCCTGCCATTCTAGGAGGGGTCAGATCCTCCAAGCATTGTCTACACAGCTCTGCCCTCTGTCCTGGGCTCAGTATCTAGTACATAAACATTAAAATTGCTTCCTTTTTAGGTTTTCAATGGGAAATTAGGGTTACTAAGAGTTAAAAATGTGAGAATCTATTTATTTTACACTACTAGACATGAGAAAAACAGTCCTGTATGCAGAGTGTATAAAGGAGATTGGATGTGTTTTTGGTAAGGGAGGTTAATAAAGAAATGTGGGGATATTTTTCTGAAGAAAAAGTAATTTTGTCAAGTTTTGAGGTTATTTAAAGGTTATTTCAAATTGAAGGAATTAAGAAAACAGATTCATGTACATAAAAGTAAATATATATAAATACCTGAGGAAAGAAACAAAACAAGAAAAAAAATATGTGTTTATAAAAGTTTTATGGAAATCTTATCTTGTTTGTTCAAAGATGATTGAGATTGGATGGATCTGTTTGTAAGATTTTAATAAACTTAGCTTTAGTATTAATAATACACTTATATAAAAGTAAAATTTGGTTTTCTTACTTATTTCTTTATTTTTAGAGATGGGGGTTTCACTTTGTTGTCCAGGCTGGTTTCGAACTCCTGGGCTCAAACAATCCTCCCATGTCAACCTCCCAAAGTGCTGGGATTACAGGCATGAGCCACCAGGCCTTGCAGTTTTTCTCATTTAAATGAGAATTTTATGTAGAATTAATAAGAGATATTTTGTTCACCTTTTAAGTAAACTGCCAGAAAAAAAGGAAGAAAGAGAAAGAGAATGTGCCTCATGCTTTCTTTATTAAATATATTTGTGTGGATATGTTATTAATATGTGTTCCAAAATTGTATGAGATTCCTAAAAATTTGATATGTCTTGGCCTATGTTATCAATCGTAATTATGGTTAATGTGTACAATTGTTGGAGGCCACAGGAAATAAACTTTTTTTCAATTTTATCTTTAACAATGGCCATTTTAAGTATTGTTGTCCACAGTCAACTCCTATATTCTGATACTTTTCATTTTTCTAAAAGCTCTTGGCAAATACTAAAGTGTTGTATATTTGAGGAGGTTCACAAAAAGACTACAATAAGTACCCTTAAATACAGGTTTCTGACAATTTTGATAACATATTCAAAGTTGAGTATGATTCAACTGGTTAACACTGAATAAGAATACAACTAGGTTAAAATTTTAAAACTCCATTGGAAGAAAAAGCTGGACTCATAAAATTGCTAACCTAACATCAAATAGAAAAAGAATTAATTACATGTGACTGAACTGATGAGGAACTAAAATTATTTTAATGATTTATATTGTTGGAAACATTGCTGGTTCTTTATCTTTTTTTGTAGTCAACAATAGAGAAATTCATTCAATATATACAAATATTACAGACACAATCTTTGCCTCGTCCCCCAATTCTCAATTTTTGCAAGTCTAATCCAAAATTTTGTATACAAAAGTTCCAAAAAAGCCAACTTAAAAAGACCCTTTGTGGCCAATCACTATTCTTCTTGCACTTTATGTGAATAGTCAAGTATTTAAAAAGCTAAAGTTTAGTTTGCAAATAAGTTGTTCATACTATGATTTCTTCTTGGTAGAAATGGAGCACTGGAGAGAGAAAAATTATGTTTCAACAACAGCCAAAAACAGAAAAAAAAAATCAGACCCATGGTACACCTGTTATTAATTCCAGCTCTTTTTTTTTCCAGATTTTATGAAATACCTGCTGTCTAAACTAAATCCTAAATGTTTAGTTCTAATATCTGACTGTGACTCTCCAGACTAACATTTCTAATTTGCCTCCCAAAATTCTGATTTGAAATAATGAGGAATTAAAACTGCTTTTTTCCTAAAGCTCTGAAAAGTGAAGCTAGACAACTTGATATCAACTTTAAGAGAAATAACTACAGCAGTTTATATATAAACACCCTTCATACCTGTTGATGTATGAACTGCTCGGAAAGTTCACTGGAACACCTGGTTCAAGCTACAATCCAGAAAAATCTATTAGATTGCCACTGCCTGCCCTCTCTAACTGAAGAAACTTCAGCTACTCTAGCAAAACTGGTTTATAGACCATTCCAGCCATTAAACTTTTTTTTTTTCTGTTTACGTAGAAATGCCTCTTATTAAATTTCTGTTTGCTTGCCTCATATACACAGGCCTAGCTTTGAGGGCCCATCTGCAATGACATCTTCTGCACTGGGACACAACCGTTTAACTGAACTGATCTATTCTCGGGACTGAGGCTGTTTGAAGAAGACACAAAGCAATGTACTTAAATTTCCTTCTCGGCTTGTTCCCATCTTCCCCCACCCATTTTGCCTACTCTTATTTAGAAACTTCTAAGCCCAAACTCTCTATACTTACCAGTCCTACATTAATATATGAAACTTTCTGAAAATACAGTTTTAAATCAGGGACTAAATAATACCAAAAATATCTCACCCCAAAATATACTTCTTTGACATATTTTGAGATGGCTATTCAAAGGGGGTGCAGACAGAAATACCCAAGCAAAGCTGCCTTTGTGGAGGAGATTCGCATCTGTAGAGAAAATCTGCATTGGGAAATAAATAGCAAGGCTTTCTCTTCCTTCCCTTCCCCTTGTCAGAATCTAGGAAGGATTGGCTTCTGGGAGAGAAAGACTGATAGCCTGACTGACACCTTTAGGGATCTGACGGAAACATTCTTTTTTTTTTTTTTTCTTTTTTAATACTTTAAGTTCTGGGATACATGTGCAGAATGTGCAGGTTTGTTACATAGGTAAACATGTGTCATTGTGGTTTGCTGCACCCATCAACCTGTCATCTAGGTTTTAAGCCATGCATGCATTAGATATTTCTCCTAATGCTATCCTTCCCCTTGCCCTCAACCCCCTGACAGGCCCCAGTGTGTGATTTCCCCTCCCTGTGTCCATGAGTTCTCATTGTTCAACTCCCACTTATAAGTGAGAACATGTGGTGTTTGGTTTTCTGTTCCTGTGTTAGTTTGCTGAGGATGAAGGTTTCCAGCTTCATCTATGTCCCTGCAAAGGACGTGAACTCATGCAGAAACATTCTTTCTAAGAGCTGCTATTCAGGAGGTTTTGAGGTAAGAGGTCACACTAGACTCCAGAAGTGAGTCTTGGACACCTGACCAAATTGAGGACTAGCTAAAACAGGTCCAGGTGGAAGCACCTTCCTGTAAGACACTCCCAGCCGTGTGCCAAGTCATTTTACCATTGCCATGGCAACACCCGGAAGTTACTGCCCCTTTCCATGGCAACAACCAGACAACCCAGAAGTTACAACGCTCATCCTAGAAATGTCTGCATAAACTGCCCCTTAATTTGCGTACAATTAAAAGCGGGTATAACTATGAGCACGGCGCTGCCTCTGAGCTGCTACTGTGGGCGTGCTGCCTATGTGGTAGTTCTGTTCCACAAGGAGCAGTACCTCTGCTTCTGCTGTACACTGCTGCTTCAGTAGAAGTTACTTTTTAACACCACCAACTTGCCCTTGAATTATTTCCTGGGCAAAGCCAAGAACCCCCCTGGGTGAGCCTCAATTTCTGGGCTTGCCTGTCCTGTATCAGTTTCATTTGCATAGCAAGAAGCTTTTGGCTAGCCACGCCTTTCCTCTGCTCCTTCCCATAACTGGTCTTGGTGTACTCCAAACCCCTGTTATTTCTGTAATCTCAGGATGGTATGAAACTTCAACCCTCTGGCCCTTTCTTTAATATTTTCATGTTTCGTTTACTCCCATGTATGCATATGCATATTATTATATTTTGTACGCTGTTTTTCCTATTAGTCTTTTAACCAGCACCTCAGTTTTGAAAATATATTTTAATCACCCACTTTCTTTTATTTTCTTCCCTTCCCTCTCACCCCTTCATTCCTTCCCTCTCTAGAAACTCCCCTCTAGCCATACATGCTCATCTAATTATGTTCTTGCTTAAGGAATTCCAGAAGCTAATCTTTAAACAAATTAGGCAAAAAGCCCAAAGCCCCTGCAGAATCCTCTGACTTAGGGAAAATCATGAACAATTAGTCCACCACCATCTAGCTGAAGATAATGCCAACCAGACCTCCATATGAGCAATTACCCAAATAGCCATCAGAACAAGACACACGTACCCTGCACCCTCTGCCCCACTCCTGCAAGTCTCCCATACTAAGTTTTCCTTTAAAATTTCTATGGTAAATTTTAAAATTTAAGTGATGCTTTAGAATGCAGTTCCACATCTTCTTGGTTTGCTAGCTCTCTGATTGAACCAACTTTTCCCTTCACACCAGCCCTCACCTCTTGTGTTTGACATTTGAATGGTGAGCAAACCAACCTGGATCCAGTTACAATTTGACTTTTGTTAGCTGATTTGCAAAGAAACAAACTTCAGGGGGCAAAGGAGAAGTTTTCCCTTGGCTCAAAGACACCTTACAATAAACTGGAAAAGACAAACACATTAAAGAGTAATTTTTGGAAGAGTTTTAGACTCACACAATATTTTTTTTTAAATAGAAATTTTCTTATTGCTTTTCACAGAACTTATTGAAAGAATGAAAATACAGGTTGAGTATTTTTTATCCTAGATGCTGGAAACCAGAAGTGTTTTGGATTTTGTTTTTGTTTTTATTTGTGGATTATTTGCATATTTATAATAAGATATCTGGGGAATGAGACTCAGTCTGAATATAAAATTCACTTATGTTTCATGTATACTGTGTACACATAGCCTGAGGTAAATACATACATTTTCTTAAATTTCGTGCATGAAACCAAGTTTTGACCATGTTTGGACTGTGACAAGTCATATAAGGTCAGGTGTGAAATATTCCAAGTGTGGTATCATGTTGGCTTTTTAAAAAGTTTAGAATATTGGACAATTTAAGATTTTGGGTTTTGGGAATAGGAATTCTCCACCTGTATGCAATTCTGTATAGTAAATTGTATTTAAGGATTTTATGATTTTTGACAATTTTTCTCTCATTCCTCAAAACAGAAAAAAAAACTCCCTCTCTCATTTTTTATTTTATTTATCTGAGTTTTCTCTCTTTTCCTAGTCTAGCTTATTATAGCTGATAGAGTTTGTTGATTTATCTTTTAAGAAAACCCACTCTGTTTTGTTAATTATTTTTTTCTCTCGTCTTTCTGGTGTCTATCTTTCTGCTCACTTTGGGCTTAATTTCTTCTTTTTCTACTTCCTTGAGATTGTTTATTTGAGATATTTTTGATGTCCTTTATTGCTATACATTTTTCTGTTTGGACTAATTTTGCTGCATACCATAAGTTTTGGTAGGTTGTATTTCCATTTTCATTGACCCTGAGATATTTTTATATTTCCTTTTTGATTTCTTCTCTTGCCCATTTTTAAGGAGCATGTTGTTTCATTTCCACATATTTGTGAATTTTCCAAGATTTCTCCTGTCATTTATTTCTAGTTTTATGCCATTATTTTTGGAGAAGATCTTGATATGATTTCAATCTTTTAAAATCTGTTACAACTTGTTTGATGGCCTAATATATGATACATCCTGGAGACTGTTCCATGTGCACAAGAGTATAATGTATATTCAGACGGAATGTCTGTATATATCTGTAAGGTCCATTTTGTCTAAAGTTTAATTCAAGTCTAATGTTTCCTTATGGATTTTCTGACTTGATGATCTGTACACTGTGGAAAATGGGGTATTGAGATCCCCTACTATTACTGTCTTGTAATCTACCTCTCACTTCAGATCATTTAATAATTGCTTTATATATTTAAGTGCTCTGATGTAGGGTGCCTATATATTTATAATTGTTATGTCTATCATTATTTAATTACCCTGTTTCTGTTTACAGTTTTCAACTTAGTCTATTTTGTCTGAATGTAGCTATTCATGTTCTCTTTTGATTTCCATTTGTGTGGAGTATCTTTTTCTATCTCTTCACTTTCAGTCTACATGTGCTTTTATGAATAAAGTGAGTCTCTCATAGGCAACATGAAGTTTCCTGTTTAATCTAGTCAGACACTCTATTTCTTTTTATTGGAGAATTTTAATCCATTTACATTCAAAGTATTTATGCATAGGTAAGAAATCGCTACCACCACTTTTTAATTTGTTTTCTGGTTGCTTCATAAATCTTTTGCTTCTTTATCCCTCTCTTACTGTCCTCCTTTGTGTTTTGGTGATTTTCGTGATGGGATGCCTTGAGTCTCTTTTTATGTTTTGTGCCACTACTATACATATTTGATTTGTGGTTACCATGTGGTCAACATAAATCACCCTATACATATAATATGCTATTTTAAACTGATAACTTAACTCTAATTGCATACAAAAACTCTGTACCTCTAGTCCCTCTTCCTTACCTTTTATGATACTGTCAAAATTTATATTTTTTTGTAATTTGTATCTTTTAATAATTTATTGTAGCTAAATTTTTTAAATATAAATAGAAACAATAAAAAGACAAATACAGTTTTGTCTTTTAAATCTCCTGGTAGAAAGAATATCCCTTTACATAACACCATTATGGTATTAGAGTATTCTGAATATAACTATGTATTACATATATAATTGAGATTTTTTCATTACTTTCATATGTTTTATGTTATTAATTAGTAGCCTTGTGCTTCAGCTTAAATTTTTTCCTGTAGCATTTTCTGTAAGAAAGGCCTATTGGTAATAGACTACTTATGCATTTGTTTGTCTGGGGAAGTTTATGACTCCCTTATTTATGAAGGATAGATTTTTTTAGGTAAAGTATTCTTGGTTGCCAGTTTTTGTTTTTTTGCTTTTCTTCAGCACTTTGATTATATCAACCCATTCTCTCTTAGCCTGTAGGATTTCTACTGATAAATCAGCAGATTAAACTGTATTGTGACTTCTTTGAATATGATGTTTCTTATCTGTTACTGCTTTCTGAATTCTTTATTTGACTTTGATTTTAGATAATTTGATTATGGTATTTCATTGTGACTTCCTCTTTGGGTTGAATTTCACTGGAGATTTCTGAACTTTCTGTACCTGGATATTGTTGTCTTTCCCCAGATTCGAGAAATTTTCAGTCGTTATTTCTTTAAATTTGTTTTCTGAGCCTTTTACTCTATATTTCTCTGGAACTTTTTTTTTCTTTTTTTTTCTTTTTTTTTTTTTTTTTTTTTTGAGGCAGAGTCTCACTCTGTCCCCAGGCTGGATGGAGTGCAGTGGCGCAATTTCGGCTCACTGCAGGCTCTACCTCCTGGGTTCACACCATTCTCTCTGGAACTTTTATTAAGCTAAGATTACGTCTCTTGATGCTTTCTTATACTTATTCTTTTTTATTTTTGTTCTTCTTACTAGATAATTTCAAATATCTTTTATTTAAGCTCATTGATAATTCACACTGCTTGATCAAGACTGCTGTTGAAGCTTTTTGTTACATTGTTTTCAGTTTAGTTTTTGTATTCTTTATACGTAGAATTTCTATTTGGATGTTTTCATTGTTTCTATGTCAAACTTCTCATTTTTATGAATTATTTTCCAAATTTTATTTAGTTTTCTATTTATATATTTTTATACTTTCCTGAATTCCTTTAAAAGGATTATTCTGAATTTTTTGTCGGTCTTTTCATAGTTCTCCATTTCCTAAGGGTCCATTATGGGAGGTTTATTAGTGTATTTTATTGGTGTCATATTTCCCTGATTCTTCATAATCTTTATGTCCTAACACTATGTCT